>NC_000011.10:33393333-33544848 GCF_000001405.40 Homo sapiens
GGAGTTAGATGCCGTCTTCTCTGCTTCTGTCTCCTGGGCCATCCTTGAGGTCTCCTGGCCCGTCTCCTTCATCAGACTGTGAACTCGTCAGAGCAGTGGTTCTCAAAAGGTAATCCCGGGTACAATGGGGTCCTGGAAACCCCTTCACAACTGTGATCAATGTGTTAAAAACTATTTTGGTTATAAGTGAGGACACACACGGTTATTAGCCATGTCTACTAGAAGAAACAATGAGCTAAGTACCTAGTGGGACAACTTGCTTAGAGAAAGAGGGAGGAAGATACTATAAAGTCAAGCCAGCACTAAGGAACAACCGAGGCATGTTGCCTCCCGGGCATAGAAGACAATGTTCAGGAAGAAGAGCAGGAAGCAGTGCTACTTATACCGTGTAAAGGTGGGATAAGTGTGGAGTCAGTTTAAGGTCTAGGGTACGAAGGTGTGCAGACAACCCCGAAAACTTGAGAGCCGCTCTCTTAAAAGCTGGGATTATGTTTTATTTGTCTTAGCACAGGGTCTTGCACATACATAGTAGATACAGGATAATTGTGTATATAAAGGAAGGAAGAGAATCTCCTGGTATGTTCTCACAGTACCTCTGAAAACCTGTTGTGTTATTCCTGCTCTTTAAACCTTTTTGACCATTCTGCCTACAAATATGCATGGATAGCACAGCACTAGCGGTGGGATGGAGTACAGGCATCACAAGCCAGGTACTAACTTCTCTCCACAGATGGGTTTTCAAAAATTAAACACTTGTGGCTGGGCGCAATGGCTCACACCTGTAATCCCAGCACTTTGAGAGGCTGAGGCCAGAGGATCGCTTGAGCCCTGAAATTTGAAAGCAGCCTCGGCAACATGGTGAGGCCCCCTCTCTACCAAAAACTAAACAAAACAAAACAAAAATTAGCTTGGTGTGGTGGTGTGCACCTATAGTCCTAGCTACTAGGGAGGATGAGGTGGGAGGATCACTTGAGCCCAGGAGGCAGAGGCTGCAGTGATCTGAGATCATGCCACTACACCCCAGCCTGGACAACAGAGCCAGATCCTAACTCATAAATAATAAATAAATAAATAAATAAATAAATAAACAAACAATAAACAATAAACACTTGTCAAACAAAATGAAACATCACTTAAAAATCAAGAGCTTTTCCATAAAGAAAAGTCAGGATTTCTAGGTTCCCTTGAAATAGTCAGAAGTTTAACCATACTGGTCCTATATTTCTGGATGGCCACACTTGGCTGAAGCTTAGTAGTGGTGCCTCTTTTAGACGGGGCATCTGTCACGGCTCCTGTTTGTCCCATTTCACTCTCATATTGGCTGTGATGAGCTAACTGTGGTAACAAACCAACCCCCAAATCTACAATGGCTTAAAGCCAGAGAAGTTTATTTCTCACTCACATAAAGACAAAATGAGTGTTCCTGATGGGCAGAGAGCTCTCTTTAAAGCAGTGATTCGGGGACCCAGGGTCCTTCCATTTTGTGGCTTTGCCATATTCAGTCTGTGGCTCCCAAGGCTGCCCTGCTTGTCTGCGTGCAGCAGATGGAAGCAGACAGAGTAACAGGTCCCTAAGTGATGTGTAGCATTCTGTGCACATTCCATGGGTTAGTGCTCTGTGACTTGGCCATAGTGACCTGCAGGGAGAGGCTGAAACACGTAATCTTAGAGTGGTCCCAGAAAGTAGAGGTAACAGGTTTGGCGAACAGCCAGCTGTTACCTGACCCAATTCATTTCTTTCATCTACTTGGCCCTTTGGTATTTGAGTTTGCAATCCCTGCTTTTAACAGCAACAGGCTTTGGAGATAAGGAAACCTAGGTTCAAATCACTATAATGTCAACTCTAGCAGGACAGGAACTTAATCTGTTTTGTTCACTGCCTAGAGCAGTCTCTGGCACACAGTAGGTGCTCAATAAGTCTTTGTTGATTATATGAATGACTTCCTTCTGCCTGTAGCAATAATAATAGCTAACACTTAATGTTCATAACGCGCTTAACTCTGTGAGTAGGTTGGGTGCTATCTCAGGAAAAAGGTGCTAAGATTTGAACAGCCATAAGGTAAATGTGAAAATTATTTTCTTTTTCTCTTCTCTCTAATTTTCAGGATGTTTCTGGAACTCTCTTTCATCTATATATCGATGAGAAAATGTAACATTTTCTTTTTCATATTTTAGAAGGCTTTCTATAATATGAAAAGAAGGCTATTTCTTTAACATATTTTAGAAGGAAGGCTTTATTTTTTATTTCCTTAGGTTTTTGGAGAACAGGTGGTATTTGGTTACATGAGTAAGGAGAAAACGTAACATGTTTTCTTATTGGCTGACTGCTAGGGTGAAAAAAACAGCTGTTTTCAACTTCTTGTAGTTTCGGTAGACAAATGGTTGTTACCTCAAGATAAGATTTTTTTTTCCTGTATGTAGTAAATTCTGATTAAATTGGACTCAGTTGTACTTCAAGTGGATTGTAGTCTGCTGTCTTCTGTTTGGCAAAAAAGTTAGTGTTATTTTCAAAGTCACCTTGACATCTTTTCGCCGTACTCAGCACAGAGGGCAGAAGGTCCAATAGTTTTCCTGCAGTTTGAGGTCCTGATGGTGGTACATGCGAAGTGTAATTTCTTTGTTGTTATTGTTGTGACTTTCTGATTTATTTGGGGGCAGGTTTGAGGTTAACTGGAAGGAATTGGTTGTATTTTTTTCTTTCCCCATAGGAATACAAGTAAAATTCCTCATACCTTGTTATCCCTGGTGTTGTGTCTTTGCTAGTTATTATGGGACCAGATAGCCTAAAGACCTCACCTAGAGCAACTTAAGGTGATAGCACCCATGTTCCGGGCAGCAGGAAGTGAATTACCTTTGCATGAAGTATGTCCTATTACAGGACCATCAGACCATTGGAACCCCACCTTTCCCTTAATTGAAGGGGGCTACTGGAGTTGCAGGAGCTTAGCTGCAGGTCTCTTCCAGATGCTGCCTGAATCCCTTTTGCCAGAAAAATATCCATGAGAAGATTGAAAACTACAATAAAAATAGTGATGTATAAACACATAACTAAAATAAATAGATTACTACAATATTTACAGAAGTATTGTGAGAGGAAGAGATTAATGTGGATTTTGCTGGTAGAATTTCTAGTGAGTTGGGTTAATCGGAAGGAGGACCTTGAATAGAGGTTGAATGGAGAAAGTCTGACTTGACGGGGTCTGGGATCCTTCTTATGGCATTGCGTAACTAGGACACAGCCTAAAGTAGGTAGAGTGAAGGGACTCAGCTGAACTTACTCTTCTCCCTTTAACTTATCAATAGCATTAACTTTCTTTTTTTTTCTCTTTCATTTAAAAGCTTCCAAAAAAATGGCTGGTCATGGTAGCTAGCACTTTGGGAGGCTAAGGCAGGTGGATCACCTGAGGTCAGGAGTTTGAGACCAGCCTGGCCAACATGATGAAACTGTCTCTACGGAAAATAGAAAAATTAGCAAAGCATGGTGGTGCACACCTGTAGTCCCAGCTACTTGGGAGGCTGAGGCAGGAGAATTGTTTGAACCTGGGAGGCAGAGGTTGCAGTGAGCCGAGGTTGCGCCATTGCACTCCAGCCTTGGTGACAAAGTGAGACTCTGTGTCCAAAAAAAAAAAAAAATTCCAAAAATGAATTAATGTTTGTTTTAAGCTCTCCTCTGTTTTCTAAATTTTATCATAATTTGTTTAAAAGTGAAAACGTTTTAGGTTGGGCGCGGTAGCTCACGCCTGCAATCCCAGCATTTTGGGAGACCAAGGTGGGTGGATCACAAGGTCAGGGGTTCGACACCAGCCTGGCCAATATGGTGAAACCCCGTCTCTACTAAAAAAAATACAAAAATTAGCCGGACGTGGTGGCAGGCGCCTGTAGTCCCAGCTACTTAGGAGGCTGAGGCAGGAGAATCGTTTGAACCTGGGAGGCAGAGGTTGCAGTGAGCTGGGGTTGTGCCATTGCACTCCAGCCTTGGTGATGAGGTGAGACTCTGTGTCAAAAAAAAAAAAAAAATTCAAAAATGAATTAATGTTTAAGCTCTCCTCTGTTTTCTAAATTTTATCATAATTTGTTTAAAAGTGAAAACATTTTAGGCTGGGCGCGGTGGCTCACGCCTGTAATCCCAGCATTTTGGGAGACCAAGGTGGGCGGATCACAAGGTCAGGAGTTCGACACCAGCCTGGCCAATATGGTGAAACCCCGTCTCTACTAAAAAAACTACAAAAATTAGCCGGACGTGGTGGCGGGCGCCTGTAGTCCCAGCTACTCGGGAGGCTGAGGCAGGAGAATCTCTTGAACTTGGGAGGCGGAGGTTGCGGTGAGCCAAGATCGCGCCACTGCACTCCAGCCTGGGCGACAGAGCGAGACTCCATCTCACACACACACACACACACACACACACACACACACACACACACACAAAAGTGAAAACATTTTTTTCTATTTAAAAAATTTATTACAAGGTAATCTTTTAATAATAATAAAGGAAATTTTTGAAAGGAAAAATCATATAGTTTTTTTTGTTTATTTGTTTTTTTTAAATCAGGTTGGAACACTGAAAGTTCCAATTTGGTGGTTGGCCTTTTTTTTTTTTTTTTTTCTTTTTTTGAGATAGAGTCTTATGGTTGCCTAGGCTGGAGTGCAGTGGCACAATCTCGGCTCACTGCAGCCTCACCTCCCGGGTTCAAGAATTCTCCTGCCTCAGCCTCCCGTGTAGCTGGGATTACAGGTGCCTGCCACCATGCCTGGCTAATTTTTGTATTTTTAGTAGAGACGGGGTTTCGCCATGTAGGCCAGGCTGCTCTTAAACTCCTGACCTCAAGTGATCTGCCTGCCTCAGCCTCCCAAAGTGCTGGGATTACAGATATGAGCCACCACACCTGGCCTGGTGGTTAGCTATTAGATAGTAACATCATATGTTAATATTGTTCAAAAATGTAAAAAAAAAAAAAAGGTAACATCAGGCCTGCATCCACTCTATACCAATGCTGCTGCTCCACATGGCTTATAACCAGTCTGGGGTAAGCTGAGTACAGGAACTAAAAGCTTAGAAACTTTTATGGCAATTAGGCATTGGCAGGACATCTGGGCATGTGATCAGTGGATCTATCCCATAGAGCAGGAACTAGTCCAGTTTGGGTGTGATTGAACTCTCATGGTAAGGTGCAGATGGCATGAGCTATAGTAAAAGGACAGTTTGGTAGGTGATGGGTTGGAAAGTAAAAACAAGCAAGCAGAGAAACAAAGCACCAGTCCTTCCCCATGGATAGAGCTCTGCAATACTTGCTACCACATTTTCGCTCACTCTTCTTCCATTCATAACCTAGTTAGAAGAAGAAAAATCGCCCATAGCCCCAAGAGTCTAACACAACCATTGATAGGATTGATATCTTTCCTTTCATCTTTTGCTTTTTGTGTGTACATGCCTTTTACAAATACATTTGTAACCATAATTCATCACAATCTCTGAATCTTAGGATTCAAGTTCCTAGTTGACATATTATGGCAATTTTTGTGTTTCGTATATAGTCTTAGTTAAAAAGACTTAATAATCAGTTATAGTCTGAATTGTCTCTTCTTTTAGGAATTTTTGGCTCCTTTCACTCCAGTGAGTGTTTTTTTTTTTTTTTCTTTTGAAATGGAGTCTTGCTCTGTCACCCAGGCTGGAGTTCAGTGGCACAATCTCTGCTCACTGCAACCTCCACCTCCCGGGTTCAAGTAAGTCTCCTGCCTCAGCCTCCTAGGTAGCTGGGATTATAGGCATGCACCACCACGCCTGGCTAATTTTTGTATTTTTAGTAGAGACAGGGTTTCACCATGTTGGCCAGGCTTGTCTCGAACTCCTGACCTCAAGTGATCCACCTGCTTTTGCTTCCCAAAGTGCCAGGATTACAGGTGTGAGTCACCACGCCCGGCCCAGTTAGTGTTTATAATGTCATGAGATTTTTGTGTTTTGGGGTGGAAAGAAGGGGAACGCTTTTCTCCTCTATTCTAAATTTTGCTGGTTTATTGCCAGGCAACCAAAGAAGAACTGCTAGAAGATAAATCAAATGTCCTCTTTAGGATTCTGTTCTCATTAATCCCACGAGTGGTGGTATATGCAGTTTTTATCCTCTGTTAGTTTTCTCTTTCAGATAAGATAAAATTCTTCTAAGTCCCCAAGCTTTCCTGGTGGCTGAGACTCCAGGAGATGAGCTGGCCATCTGGTGAAATGGACATCACCTCCTACACAGAGGCATCTCCCATGGTGGAATGTCATCCAAAGGGCCATGGTTCTGAATCCCCCAGCTCTGCCCGCTGTCAACTGGCCATCTGTTCCCCCTCACCCTCCAGGGTTTATTTTGGCTTTGCACGCTGACTGATGATCTCTTCTGAGTCACCTGTGCCTACCTTGGGCTTTTTTAATTTTTTTTAAATCCCTTCCCAAACCTTGGAAATGGTTCCAGATTGTACTCACTCAGTTTTGTGAATTCAGAAGGACGAAGATGAAGAAGATAGGAGGAGATGGCCATGTTTGGGTCAGATTCTTGTAGCACTCCGCTTCTCTTTGCTGTGGCACCTCCACTTTGTGGACTCAGCTTTTTAGCTAACGGTGTTGTGAAGCCAGCCCTTGCTAGAAAGGAGCTGACTCCGCTCATACTGCTAGGAAATCGACTTTTAATTCCTCACCAGTAAGTTGCTTATCTCAAGCCATCTTTAAGAGAGATGTTTAATAATATGTTCAATGTTTATTATTAATTAATAGAAAAATAATTTCTAGAACAGTCTTGTTAGCTTCTGACCTTTCACGTACAGCACATCTTTAAGAGTCATTGGTACCTACAAATGTGTAGAAATCAACCCATCACATATTTACAAAACATGCATGATGTGTTAAGTAAGACCAATGCTAGGTAAGGTTTCCAAAGTGATACCAGTAGTGCTTTGAAGGTATATAAGTAAGGACAGGGTTGCATGAAAATAGCTAATTGAATATGAAAGCTTAAGTATCCAGGCACAAAATAAGTGGTACAGAAACTAAATGAACTGGGCTATCAAATTTAGCATCCACTTTACCCTGGGTTACAATGGGAATGGACTGCTGGTGTCCCTAATGGTAAGAACTTGTCTGAAATAACAACTTCTACTGAGTGTCTGTGACTTGGGACCTCATGGTCTAGGATAATGCTAGGGGTCTTGTGGGAACTTCTGAGTCATTGATTTTTACCAGAGCAGGTCTTAGAGAATCATGTACCAGCAACAGAATCTTTTAAAGCAAAGTTGGCATTTTGCTTCTGAAATATATTCTTACCCACAGCACATAGTAGAAATTGTGGATTAAAATTATCTTAAAACTGTTCTTACTTGAATTACCTAAAACTGTAGAATGTCTTTGCTGAAAAACTCTGTTTCATCCAAATTATAGTAATAGTAATAGTTTCCACTTATTCTGCCAGCATTTCCCATGATCCAGACACTGTGCAGGGTGCCTGAGATGCTTATATGGCATTTAATCTTCACAGACCTCTTATGAGGTAAGAACTGTCATTATTCACATTTTGCAAATGGGGAAGCCGAGGCTTAGAGAGGTGATATAACTTGCCCAGGACCACATAGCATAATGTTGGATCTGTCCTTCTGAACCCAAGGCCTGTGCTCCTGTCCACTGCTAAGCTGAATGCTCTCCATGACTGTATCTGCCTTTCCTCTGCCCCATGAGCTGCGTCCCAGGTCTAAGGATGAGATGAAGCAATTGTGTCTGATGGGCATGTATTGCTGTGGGCATTACAGAGGCTTTTCACATCCGTTGTCTCTGTAGTATGATCTGGCCACAAAGGGTGAAGGTGTGAGTAAGCGTGGCTGTGGCTCATATTATATATATATATATGTAAAATATATCTCATATGATATGTATTATATATTAATATAGTATATATAAATACATTATATTTATACAATATATAAAATATATTTATATATAAAATATATAATAGATATAAAATATACATATATTTGAAGGTGTTGGTCAGAACATTTTATCATATTTTATATCTATTATATATTTTATATATTATATCTATTCATAGGTTCCCCATCAGTATCATTTCCAATTTCCATACACGGCTCTTCTGAATGAGTCTCCTTGAGCCTTTTAACCTCCCTCCAGACACCCAGTCCACCTTAGATGGCTTTTGTGGTACCTTTTTCACCTGTTCACTCCTTAAATGTGGGTGTGCTGTCAGGTTCTGTCCTAGCTTTTTTTTTTTAGACAGGTCTTACTCTGTCACCAAGGCTGGAGTGCAGTGGCATGATTATGGCTCACTGCAGTCTTGACCTACTGGGTTCAACCGATCCTCCCACCTCAGTCTCCTCAGTAGCTGGGACTACAGGCACATGCCACAATGCCCAGCTAATTTTTTGTAGAGATGGGGGTCTTGCCTCTGCCTGCCTCAGCCTCCCAAGGTGCTGGGATTATAGGCATGAGCCATGGCGCTCTAGAAAGTTCTGGGACTAGAGCAGGGCCCTAGCAGCAAGAGGAGGTCCAACTTCATGCCACAAGCCAAAGGTCACCAACTCAAAGATGCGGAAGCCAGGTGGGTGGCATGAGTGAGCCAAGCACACATGGGAGGGTGCACCCCACATAAGGGGCACAGCTGTCCCTCTGCTCCAGCCAGTTGTTCCCGTGGGGGAATTTAGGAGCCAGGGGCCAAGATATGTTCTAGCCTTCTCGTCTTCTAGCTTACAGCATCGAGGGGTCAGTGACTCACAATGTTACAACTCCAGCATAGACTCTTCTGCACTCCAGCCCTGTTCCCTCTTATGGACACTTCAGCTAGGTGGTCTCTAGTCACCTCACACTCAGCTGTCTCCCAGCCTGATCCCCTGACCTGGCCATCCTGCTGTATTCCTAGTCTTGGTGAATGGAGCTTCTGTCTGCTTGGCCGCTTAAGCCAGAAACCACAGAGTCATCCTAGACTCCTCCTCCTCCTTCACCCTGCATATCTGATTGGTCCTGTCAGTTCTGTCTCCTTAATGTTTCCTGCACCTGCTCCCTCCTCTTACAGCCTCTACTCAGGCCCCTGTGGTCTCTCATCTGGATGATTTCTGTAGCCTCCTATTTCTGGTCGCCTTGTGGTCCTTCTCCCTCTGTACTTTCGCCTAAGTCTGTCCTCCAGGGCTCTTTCTAATCATAAAGCAAATCATATATCCCTCTTCAGCCTAAGGCTTGAAATCTGTGTCCATCTCACAGATCTGTATTCTTTCCTTACAGTGTTAGCCTGCATCATATTTAAAAACAATTCCCTTTGGCTTTGCTTGCCTATATTAAAAATCAGAGGATTCCATATAAGGATCCAGGTTTCTGGCTTATCTTTGAAAACCAGAAGCCCTGGCCCCTGGCTCCTGAATTCCCCCGTGGGAGCAGCTGGAGCAGAGGGACAGCTTTGCCCCTTATGTGGGGTGCATCCTCCCAGGTGTGCTTGGCTCACTCCTGCCACCCCCCCTAGCTTCCGAACCAGTTGACTTGGTGACCTTTGGCTTGTGGCATGAAGTTGGACTTCCTCTTGCTGCTAGGGCCCTGCTCTAGTCCTTGTACCCTGCACCCACAGAGCTTACTTTCTTGGAGTACCTCTAATTTGGCTTTTTGTTTCACGCCTATGTCTTGTCACATACTCCCCCCTGGTTAAAGCTCACACGAGAGGCAATACTCTTTTCTGAGGATCTTGACAACAGAGTAAGATTATGGTTTCATCCTTAGTCATTTGGCTTGGGGTCCATGAACCCCTAGGGTAGTCTCTTCTAAATTATTTTGATAATGTACAATAAGAACTACATTTTACATTTTGACCCAGCATGCGTGTGCATACACACACACAGACATACACAGACACACGCACCCACACATGCAGACACAGACACAAACACACATATGCAGACACACACACAGACACAGACACACACAGACACAGACACACACACACACACACGCATACACGGACACAGACACACACGGACACACACATGCAGACACGCAGACAGACACACACAGACACATGCAGACAGACACATACAGGGACACACATGGACATGGACACACAGACACACAGACACGCACACAGAGACATACATGCAGACACACACAGGGACACAGACGCAGAAACAGACACACATCAGACACACATAGACACACAGACACACATGGACAGACACGCAGACACACACACGCACAGACACACAGACACGCATGGACAGACATGCAGACATGGACACACACCGACACGCAAAGGGACACACACAGACACACACACAGACATAACACCCACACCTACAACTGATAAAAAGGGTGAGGAAATAATACATGACCTCTCTTCCATACTTTTTTCCTCTGCTTTTCCCTTTGCTTCTCCTCCTTCTCTTCCTCCCTTTCTTTCTTTTTCTTCCAAGTTGCTCATGACCCACTAAATTGATTTCATCACCCATTAGTAGGTCACAGTTCATACTTTGAAAAAACACTGTTCTTGAGGAGAGAGCTATAAATCCTTGAAATTATATGTTTAAATCTAGTGTATACCATACCTTTGTTTTTCCAGGAGACAGGAAGTTTCTAAGCATTCGGCTTTCCAAGGGGGCCATGATGAAAACAGATTTCATAACCACTGATTTAGGTATTTTATTTTCAATGGGATTTGAGGTCACCAGGTTCATGCACCCATAGAAATTAGTGATAATTATTTGAAATGTGGGCCTCTGTGTCAGACGTCTGACATGGCCTATACTGTTTGTTGCTAAATGAAGTTAATATTTGCAGAATCTCAGGGAGGGTGGAATGGATCCTTTAAATCTCCTGTACCCATGAGAAGGTGAAAAGCTATGTGAGGCACATAAAAAGGATTTACTTGGTGAAAGAGTTTCAATAAAATCTTCATTTAGGCCAGGCACAGTGGCTCATGTCTTTAATCCCAGCACTTTGGGAGGCCGAGGTGGGTGGATCACTTGAGGTTAGGAGTTTGAGACCAGCCCGGGCAACATGGTGAAACCTCATCTCTACTAAAGATACAAAATTAGCCAGGCGTGGTGGCAGGCGCCCGTAATCCCAGCCACGTGGGAGACTGAGGCAGGAGAATCGCTTGAACCCAGGAGGGGGAGGTTGTTGCAGTGAGCCAAGATCACACAATTGCACTCCAGCCTGGGCGACAGAGCGAGACTCCATCTCAAAACAAACAAACAAAACAAAACAAAAACCTTTCATTTAAAGTCAGATAAGTACAGACAATTCATGGAAAAAAATAAAAAGAAAAAGAGATGAAGGTCGTGAATAGACAATACCATAGCAAGATTCAGGTAAAACAAACAAAAACTATATAAGGTGTTTATAATCACAACAATAATGAAAAACAAAATAAAAGTTATTTAAAGCTGGGCACAGTGGCTCACGCCTGTATTCCCAGCACTTTGGGAGGCTGAGGCAGGCGGATCACCTGAGGTCAGGAGTTTGAGACCAGCCTGGCCAACATGGTGAAACCGGTCTCTAATAAAAATACAAAAAATTAGCTGGGCATGGTGGCATGCCTGTAATCCCAGCTACTCGGGAGGCTGAGGCAGGAAACTTGCTTGAACCTGGGAGGTGGAGGTTGCAGTGAGCCAAGATCGCACCACTGCACTCCAGCCTGGGCGACAGAGTGAGACTCTGTCTCAAAAAAAAAAAAAAAAAAGTTATTTCAAAAGATAAGAAAAAAAGTCAGATAAAATAACCCAGAAAATGTTTTATTTTCATTTTGTTATATTGTTTTTGTTTTGGCTTATATGAAACCATTATTCAACACCTGTCTTGGTAATAGGAATGAAGAAAATAGTAGTGAACAGAATAAATATTCTTGCCCTCAGGATGTTCCAATCCAGAAAAGGGGAGTGAGAAATAAAAATAGAGAATCACTAAAGCATTGGTGTAAACAGAATAAATACCATAAATGCATTGCTGCCAAAGAATATAACAGAAAACCAAATTAGGTTTGTGGGAGGGGTTGTGTAGCGAGATAACAAAAAAGACATTACAGAATGACCAAGATTATTTTGAGCTACAAAATTATTAAGCAGTGGTTTTGAGTAACAGAATTAAAAACAGCTGCTGTAATAGACTAACAAAAAAATTCCAGATTCAATATCCTCTAGTAATGTCTTTTATGTTATTTCCCTACACTTTTTTTTTTTTTTTTTAACATAATACACTGCTTCTAAAGAATCAAAAGCTGTCTGGGCGCAGTGGCTAATGCCTGTAATCCCAGCACTTTGGGAGGCCGAGGTGGGTGGATCACAAGGTTGACAGATAGAGAACATCCTGGCCAACATGGTGAAACCCCGTCTCTACTAAAAATACAAAAATTAGCCAGGCGTGGTGGCGGGCACCTGTAGTCCCAGCTACTCAATAGGCTGATGCAGGAGAATCGCTTGAACCCAGGAGGTGGAGGTTGCAGTGAGCTGAGACTGCGCCACTGCACTCCAGCCTGGGCAACAGAGCCAGTCTGTCTCAAAAAAAAAAAAAAAAAAAAAAAAGCAAAAGCTCTACTAGGAATAGTGTTTTATCCATGTTCCAGGTCTTGTTATCCCCATTTTTAGAAGAGGAAGGCTCTATGTTAATGGGCTTGTGGACCTGGTCTACTATAGGAAGGTTAATGGGTTCTCCAAGTAAGGCCATTCATTATTACCCATGTGTATGTATCACTTCCTTGAATGATTCTGGCAGTTGGAGCAAAGCTAACTCATTACTACAACAGTCAAAGAATGAAAAATGGCCACTGTGATGAGCCTCCCTTTTTTACTCTAGTAACACAATTACAATTTGATTATAGATTTTTGTTGTTGTGAATATAACAAAGGCATGTTGCTCCCCCCAAAACTGGCCTACAGAGAAGAGGGAAAAAAATTAATCCAGAATCCCACGGCCCCAACACACCCGCTGTTTGCATTCCTGTTAGGAACCGAGTGTGGCTTTCATTTGCTTGGCTGGCTTGCAGGATGGCTGGGTGGGGAGGGGGTTCCTGCCGGCTGCGACTTATGCTTCACACGTGCACGGGCCATATGGCAACACCAGTGTGCATGTGCAGGGGAGGGGCCGCTGCCTTGACCCCGGGCTTTCCATTGGGTGCCTCTGTTTTCAAATCATCTTTGGTCCGAATCCTATCATCTCCTCTCTTAGGGACAGGTGGATGTAGATGGGGAAGCTGGAACTCAAACTACCCCCTTTGCTTATGTTGTGTTGTAATCCGCGCAGCGGAGCAAAGCTCCCCAGAGTTGGCAGCCCCTGAAATTCAGGGCAGGTCTGACATTTGCTCTCCACTCTGCCCTGCACTCTTCTTTCTTAAGGCCCCCTAGCCCTCCGCTGCCTCAAAGGGATCAGCGCTCACTGCATCTTTCTTCACGAATCTAATTGTAAAGGATCAGGCACCTACCAGGATGCAGTTATACTTTGCTGCTGCTTCGTATTCTTCATTTTTGGGGTAACAGTTTTGTTAACCTTTGCTTTCGCACACCCAGGTGTCGGATGAGGTCTTTTGGCCCCTTAAGACCTACTTAGATTGGCTCCAGCCCTCCTGTTGCCTGCTGCTGGAGGTGTAATGTTCACGATTCCTGTAAATTCCTCAGGCACTTATGTTCTAGTTTCTGTCTTTGAGCTCTTGCTTCACTGAACTAGCTCAAGGTAGGGACTCTTTGTTCCTGTTCTTCATAGGTCTATCTAGGTAGATGTGGAGTTCAGTCCTTTTTCTTTTTTCATTTTTTTTTTTTTTTTTTTTTGAGACGGAGTCTCGCTCTGTCGTCCAGGCTGGAGTGCAGTGGCGTGATCTCGGCTCACTACAAACTCCGCCTCCCGGGTTCACGCCATTCTCCTGCCTCAGCCTCCCGAGTAGCTGGGACTACAGGCGCCTGCCACCACGCCCGGCTAATTTTTTGTATTTTTAGTAGAGACGGCGTTTCACCGTGTTAGCCAGGATGGTCTCTATCTCCTGACCTCGTGATCCGCCCGCCTCGGCAGTCCTTTTTCTTTTTCTTTTTTGAGACAGTCTCACTCTGTCGCTTAGGCTGGAGTGCGGTGGCATGATCTTGGCTCACTGCAACCTCTGCCTCCCGGGTTCAAGTGATTCTCCTGCCTCAGTCTGCAAGCCTGCGAGTAGCTGGGATTACAGGCACGCGCCACCGTGCCTTGCTAATTTTTGTATTTTCAGTAGAGACGGGGTTTCACCGTGTTGGCCAGGCTGGTTTCAAACTTGTGACCTCAAGTGATCTGCCCGCTTTGGCCTCCCAAATTGCTGGGATTATAGGCCTGAGCCACCGTGCCCTGCCCTAATCCTTTTAATTCCTTCAAACCACCCACCTGAACTCACCATTCACAAGTACAGAGAAGACTCTAATGAGGGTTGGGGAATCCTAAGGGTTTGCCTTGCAGTGAAGCAGATGGCTTTACAAGGGAAACCCTGCCTCCTTGTTCTGAAAAGTTCCTGGCCAATTCTAAAAACTTTAAATCCCCCAGCCTTCTGCGCCCGTCTATCCATTTTCTCTCTTCCCTTTCATCCTCAACCCCCACATTCCTCATGAGTTCTCACTCAGAGTTCTTGAGCTTTCTTTAGTCAACTTCCTACTGGGAATGACCCGTTCCTGCAGGGTCTCACCTTCCAAGCCCAAGAAGCTCATCAAGTTGTTTTTTTTTCCCACCTTGTAAACAAGACAGTTTCCTTCTCAAGGGGTGTTAAGATAATAAAAATTTTACCTTGTTGTTTAATTATCCGCTTTCTGGAGGAAAAAACCTCAATCAATTCTACTCTTCTGAAATAAGGAACAAATATTGTGTACAAAACAGAAAGATTGGAAAATGTCTTTTGTAGTACCTTCTTTTCTAAAACATGTAAAACTGAGCTAATACATTCTGGAGCTAGGCAGGTAGCTAACTGGTGCTCTGGGCATCAGTCGGGAATAGAGAACTAAATTCTGAGTTGGGAGTGTTGCTGGGCAGGGGACTTCGTCACATAGCATCTGCGTGATCTTGGTTTTGGGCCTATCATGTGGTGTTTCCCCATCAGCAAAATTGGATTCAGTGATATCTAATATCTAATATCTTCCAAGTCTAATATTTTATATGGCGCTCTCCATAAGTTAGAGATATATATATACATACTCTGTATATGTGTATATATATATATATATATATACACATGTATATATGTATACAGAAATTTTAGATCTTCCCAAACCTTTAGGAAAGCTTCCTACACACAGATGCCTCATGTGAGCAAGTTTTTTTGGCACCTCTCTGTCCCAGTCCCACATGTCCAAAGTGATATAGACTTTCCTTGGTTAGGGAGTTGGTTGTCTCATTTCTGACATCATCTTTAAGATTAAGTGTTCTACGGATCACATGAGGCCCGGAGTCTGAGACCAGCCTGGCCAACATGGTGAAACCCCATCACTACTAAAAATACAAAAAAAAAAAAAAAAAAATTAGCCGGACATAGTGGCGCATGCCTGTAATCCCAGCTACTCGGGAGGGCGAGGCAGGTGAATCACTTGAATCCAGGAGGCAAAGGCTGCAGTGAGCCAAGATTTTGCCACTGCACTCCGGCCTGGGTGACAGAGCGCGACTCCATCTCAAAAAAAAAAAAAAAAAAAAAATTAGGTATCCTTAAACTGCACTTGAAAAAAAGTCAGCAACTGCTTGTGTGGGGAAATATTCCTCCTTCAGAACAACACAATAGTCAGAGGTTAGAAACGGTGTGAATGATGCTAGAGGGAGGGGGGACAGGTATCATAGCATCTGTGTGCATTTGTTTTTTTTCTTTTTTTGGAAGCGTTTACAAAGTCTTTGGAAAAAGTCTCAAAACTGGGCCTTGGTCCCTAAAACCAAATACTGTCAACACTGACACTGTGAAACCCCAGTGTTTTTGAGGTCCTAGTATACAAAAGTACTGGATTTGATGGCTTCACAAAATTCTTCATCAGATCTTAGAAGGGTGATGGTTCATAACTTACTGTTCTCTAAAGGACCTTTTCTAGAAAACAATAACAGATGACATTTGCTATCCTGAATATTTCTGAGTTCTTGTTTTTCTTGCTGGTTTTTATAAAGAACAAAGGAGGTAGCGTTTCTTCCAAGATATTTCCCTCCTCCTTTGTGCTTCAGTGACATTTTTGCTAATCTACTAATTTCATTAAGGGTAGGCTTTAATGTCACACACTGTGGATTGTGACTTTCCCCAGAATCAAGTAAGAAGGTGACAGGAAATCAGTGAAGATCAGTTGCTAAATCAAGGTCATTCTGCTTACTTTTTCCTTTCTCTTCTCACTCATTTATTCTTTTTCTTTGGAAAACACCCTTTTGAATGACTTCATTTGATCATTATCATCCATCCCCTTTCTCAATTTAAAATGAAAACCCTACAGCTTGCTTTTCTTATGTGTTCTCACCTCTTTTTTTTTTTTTTTTTTCCTGCCTGTACTTTTATTTCCATGATGGTTTTCTCTAGGTCCTCAGGGCATTTTGAGATGAGATTTGGAAGGAAAACTCAATACAATATAAAGTTACCTTATACCCATCTCAGAGTGGGACAAATACTTAAAACAGTCAGAAAAATCCACAAGGGAGTCTGGGCTAGTGGGGGCCACAAAGAACATCTTGTTTTTTTTCTGACGTTTCTCTGTGTCTGTTATCACTGCCTTACTTTCTTTTATTTTTCTTTGTTCATGGCTGTCTGCTGTATTTTTTTTTCTTTTTACAAACATGCAGAATGTTAGATTTGGAGTGTGGACCATGGGAATCACTGAGACCAAACCCTTCAATTTTTGGAGAAGAAAAGCAAGTGGGCTAGAGAAGTTACCATTAAAGAGGCAGTAGACTGTAACAGAGAGATCTATCACAGGCTTTGGAATTGCAAAAGGGTGGGTGCAAATCCTAGCTCAGTCACCTGTTAGCCAGGTGCTCCTGGGCAACTCTCTTAACTGCATTGTTAGTGTAGACCGCATTTGTAAGTGGGAATGGTAATGCATTCCTCCTGGAGCTGTTGTGAGGGTTAAATGAGATAATGGATGTCGTGTTCCTCTTGTGTCTAGGCAGCGCCTAGAAAACCACTAAAAAAGAGGTAGCTGTTGCCACAAGCTAGTTAGAAGTAGTACCTAGATTAGTTCTTATAACACATTTCTTACTCCAGCAGACATTACTAACCATCTTGGTTCTGAACCACCTGCCTCAGTCCATCTCATACTTTGCTTTCCAACATTTTCAGTCTTCATGGCTTTTAACCTTGTGGCTTTTTCCTTATGACCTCATCTCACCCACTGGAAGTAAAACTGCACTTTATATTCTACTGGATTCCCTGTAGACCCATGCATGGAACACGGATGGGCATAGTGGGTGGGTAGCATTTGACTTTGTCCTTGAAATAGATGTAGGATTTGGATCTATGGAGAAGGGAGAATGGAATTCTGGGAAGAGGGAACAGCATGAGCAAAACTAAAAGAAGGGATTTGCAAGATGTGTTTGGGGAACGGTGAATTGTTTGGAGAGAGCTAAGGCATTTGGAAGCCAGGAGGAAGACAGTTTCAAGAAGGCAGGACCAGCCTGCTCTGGGAAATACTGCAAAGAGGTACAAGTGAGTAATGAGGAAAAGTGACTGGATTTGGCCACACAAGGACCAGTTTAGGGGAGTGGGCTTTGGAAGGACCAGTTTAGGGGAGTGGAGCAGGCACACACTGGGTTGTAAGGGCTTCCCAGTGGAGTGAGTGATAGGGAAGTGCAGTCTGCTAGTCTAGACCAGGTGTTCCCAAATGCTGGTCCACAGGTTGTTTATCCTACTTTGCCAGAGGTGAAACGAGGAACACAAAGCTAGTATAGGGTGTTTTTCATAAGCCGAATTTTATTTATTTATAATGACCACCCTCTAATCTGAGATGATAGCCTTACTTTATTGGTTTTGAAATATCTCTTTTATGAAGTGATTGTTGTTCTCAATCCTGGCTGCACATGAGACCCACTTGGAGCACTTTTAGAAATCATGGCATCCTGACTCCACCTGAGACAACTGAAGCTGATCCCTGGGGCAGCCTGCTCCTGCTGCAGGTCCAGAACTCCACAGGTGATTGTCATGCATCCAGATTGCATACCTCTCGGCTAGTGGATGTTAGGGTTTTTGAGGCGGTGGTGGTTATTTTAATTTCTAAAATGACCTTGCTTGGCAAAATTAAAAGTTGGAAACTCTTGGGTCATTGCCCAACCTTATTTGTTTGTTTGTTTTGTTCAGCTTTTCGTTTTTGTTTTGCTGATTTGTGAAATTCAAATGGCAGGGACCCAGCTGTAGGTAGCTTTTTAAATGACGGAGGCAAGTTTGATGTAGTCTTTCTTTGAAAGAGGGTTAGCTCTCCTAGTGCTTTCCAGCTATCGTGGAGTGTATTTACAGTTTGAGGAACATTGTGTTTGTATGAAGTAAGGCTTAGCTGTGTTGTCAGGCACAGTTCTTATTTCAAGTATCACTGAGAATTATTAAGAGACCAAGTTGGAGACTCAGGTTCGATGGATGTAAAGCACACAGGACATCCTCCATGTGAGTCTTCTCTTGCCTCCCTTGTGGAGGGCTCTTCTTGTGGTTCAGCAGTGCTTTCCATTCTAGCCGCTCACAGGATGTCTTGTACTTTCTGACCTTGAAGGTGAAACATCTTTCTACTGACAATTGCAGGTCTGAAATGTAGCGTCGGATCAGTGAAACATTCTCATTTCTGTTTTGTGGTGCTTCTAGTTATTTTAGTGTTTAAAGGTCAGAGTAGGAAGCATCTTAAATGCAAAGCATTTAATTTCCATTAGAGTTAAAGGATTCTGAGTCTGTGTTATAGTCAATAAAAACGGTGATGCTTAAATCAGCTAATGCTCTATTTCTTACATGAATATTTTATATGAACTACAAAGGAAGAAAAATCTATATGTTTATCCAACATTATGTCCAGTGGCTATTGGAAACTTGTCTTCTTGGGTATTATATGAATGACTCCTGTTGTATCTATTCAAGTTGTAAAATAATTACATGTATTGTTCTTGGGAGCTGTTTTGCAGACTTAAGTTTATGGCTAAATCTTGCTAATAGAGGCATTCCCTGAATTACTAACACCCTTACAGACTTGCTATAAATAAGACTGTGTGGGCTGGAGTATGCTACCATGAGGCAAGAAATGGTGTTTCTGGGTGCTGCTCTGGAACTAGTATTGAGGTACACAGTGATAGCATAGTAGAGTCTCTTAGCTAATGTACCACTGCTTAACCAGCTGGCTGCATTAATTAGTGCTGGTCATTTGCTCTATGACTGATGGCAGGCTGATCACCCATGATTAGAAAACGGATAGCTTCTCCCACTGGGTGAGGATCAGTTGTGTTTATTCCTAAATGTGCTGGTGTCTGTTTGACTTGTTATTGTGATTTCTTAATCTGTTGAAGTATTATGTAAACGGATTAAATATTAGTACAGACATTTACGCATCATAATCTATGGGATAGATGCTATTTTTCTCTTCTTTTTAGAAACAAGGAAACTGAGATATAGAGAGGTTAAATAACTTGCCTGAGCTAGTAAGTGGCAGTGACAGGGTTTGGACCCAGGAAGTCTGATTCCAGCTATAGTCCTAATGAATATACTGCACTTTCAGGGTAATAAATACATGATCTTGGTGGATTTGAAGCTTTTTGAAGAGGGAATATGAATAAAATTTTCCAAAGCCAGGTCTGGGGAACATGAATCCCATGAGATCCTGTACTTAAAAGCATTTTACTTTCAGATGTTTTAGGGAAATGCTGCATCAGATACCTGCTTCCTGAGATAAACCATTCACCCTCATTTTCTAAAGTTTGAGAAGTTGGGCAGCACAGAAACTAGCTTTGCTTTGTTTACCCTAGAACTTCCCAAACTTATTTGAACACAGATTTTTTTTTTTTTTTAAATCAAGAATACCTCTTAAGGCTGGGCGTGGTGGCATGTACCTACAATCCCAGCTACTTAGGAGGCCAAGGTGTGAGGATTGTTTGAGCCAGGAGTTCAAAGCTGCAGTGAGCTGTGATCATGCCACTGCGCGCCAGCTGGGGAGACAGAGTGAGACCCTGTCTTTAAAAAAAAAAAAAAAAGCAATACGTCTTAACATTCTTCAGAGTGAGTGGCCTATGAAGCATGGTTTTTGTTGGGTTTAGAGTAATTAACTCAAGATGTGTCCCCCTTAACAATCCTAAGTTAGGATTGTTATGCTACCACGATATCTCAATGTTTAAAACTTATGTTGACTTTGGTCTGTTTTATTTTTAATTATAGTACAGTCTATGTAATTAATTATCTCTACTTATTTTTTGGATAAATTATTATTTGTTCTTATGAACAGAAAAGACATTGTTTTAGGCATGGAGGAACAAAGAAAGTGACAATTATAATGAAAATCTTAACATGTTAAGAGGTCTGCATGAACTGCTGAAGTGGACTTCTATAGCACACCGAGGTCCAGTGCTGCATCCGTCTCTGCATACCTGTCCTTTTAGACTGTCTTATGGAGGGTGAGAACACCTGAATCTGTCTAGGGTCTCTGGTGAAGGTGTTCACATTCAGAAAAAGAAGATTAGAGCAGGGATCTGACAAAGGATTTGTGTCTGAGGATGTGTAAGAATTGGAATCTCCAGGACCTAGATGTTTATGGAAACACAGAATACATTTCTTGGAAGTCTCCTGGGAAACTCTGAGATAGCCATTGTCAAAGCATCTGTGACATCATTTCTTCATTCAGTAAACCTGCTGCCTAGTATTTTTATTAACTGCTACTTCTAATTAGTACACAAGCCTAGAAGTCTATTAAAATTATAGTTTGTAGTTATGAAGATCATTATAAATCAGTCCTGCAACATCCCTAAGTGCCTTCAGAATCATACGAAAATTAAGCTATGTGCAGTATGGATCTAGCACGAAGTATATAATATCGTAATTTATGAAGTGAATATTCCATGGATGATTAGATAATCTTATAAAAGGACTTTTAAAGATGTGATGCATAGTATCTATTACCAGCTTGTAATACAGTTCACTTAACCTTCTTTCTAGTGATGGATTTATAGGTGACTTCTGTTTTCCCCTGCCATAAACATGTGATGGATGTCTTTCATATAAATCATTGGTTACATCTTTGATTATTTCTTTGAATAAATTCCTGGAATAGAGGTACTGGATCAAACGGAGTGCACATTTTTAAGGCGATTGGCACACTTTATCAAATTATCTTCCGTTAAGTATATATGGGCAATGTAGCAGGGAACATATTCCTTCACACCCTTGCAATGTTGGGTATTGGTATTAAAAAGCAAAACAACAACAAGCGACCTTTCCCAATTTGGTAGTTGAAAAGGGTATTGTATTATTGTTTTAATGTACATTACTTTGATTACTAGTGGAGAGGTAATCGAATAAATAATGTGTTTTTATCATGTGTTTATTAGCTATTTGTGAGGAGAGAGAGTGTGTGAGTGAGTGTGTGTGAGAGAGAGAGAGACCTATTCATGTCCTTTCCCCATTTTCCTGTTAATATACTATATCGTTTTGATGTCAGGACCTCTTTATAGAGCCATAATACTGTCTTTATCATATGTTGCAGATATTTTTTCCCTGTGAAAAGGCAATTTGTCATTTGCGTTTTAATTTTTATAGTGTTTTTGGATGTCTGACATTTAATGTTGCCAAATCAATGACTCTTCCTTGGTGATTTCTTTCCTCTGTGCATTATTGGTAAAACTGGTGAAATACTAGATAAGCCAAGTCTACCTTTCCCTGCTTCTTGCTCCAGTTCAGAAAGAGAAGTGAAGTTGTGTTTGGCTAGTTCAGGGCGTTAGACATTTCATATTCAATCATTCATTACTTTATTCATTCCAAATATTGATCTAGTGCCCACCATGTTTTGGGCACGGTATTTGACAGTGGATTGCATAAGGTGCAACTGAGTTTCATGAATATGGTGCCTATATGTTATGGATTTTCAGAGTCCTTAATATTCCATCCCATTGTCAGTCTTAGGGATCAGGCTACCAGTTCTGAATTTGGCTTCAGAATGTGTCGCTGTACTGTCCCTGGGGAACATGCTCATTGGGGATCCTGCCTCTACTTGGACCAGCAAACAAATGTGTCACCCAGGCCTGAAGTTGAAAGTGGGGGCCAAGGTCCTGTTGCAGTGGAAGGCGTGAACTCAAACACTGCTCCTTCTGGTTCTGAGAGGAAGCAGCATCTGTTTAGGATACCCGAGTGGAACAGCCAAGCCTGTGTCCTCTTCTTGGTCTGTACTGCGCAGGTGGATACGGTCATTTTACCTTCCTAAGTAAGCTACATGGCAAGTCAGAGCCCAAGATGGGACCCTTATATCCTTGAGCTTTTTTCCTTTATATTGTTGCCATGAGAGAGAGCCAAAATGAAGAAGCCAGCAAACACTGATGACTTATCAGCATTTATTTTTATTTATTTATTTTTTTGAGACGGAGTTTCACTCTTGTTGCCTAGGTTGGAGTGCAGTGGTGTGATCTCGGCTCACTGGAGTGCAGTGGCGTGATCTCGGTTCACTGCAACCTCTGCCTCCTGGATTCAAGCGGACTTATCAGTATTTAAAAGACCAGGGATGTCAAGGCTGCAGTGGGATGTAATCACACCACTGCACTGCAGGCTGGGTGACAGAATGAGACCCTGTCATAAACTAATCAACCAACCAACCAACCAATAAAAAGGCTCTTTTCAAACAGCAGGCAGCCCCAGACACCATAGGGGGAGGACTGTCCTGAGGCAGGTGACCACCCCTGAGTTACGCGTCCTGAAAACCCTCCATGTGATGTGTCACCGCCTTCTTGGGCCACAGGACTCCTGAAGATAACGCTCATTGGTAACTGTTAGAGTTCCATATGGGAGTATTTATTGTTCCTTGGATTTGGTTTCAGACCTTCCTCAGGGCCAAGAAATGAATTTTTAATTATTACACTGTTGTAATTGGTCAGCTGTTCCATTCCCGAACAGCTCTTCTTTGAGATTCTGTAGATTTTGTAGTTTTCTTCCCTAGTAAATCTTTATGTAGTCGGCTCTTCATATCTGCAGATCCAACCAACTTGCAGCTCAAAAATGTTTGAAAAAAAAAACCAACACAACAATAAAAATAATGCAAATTAGAAAACAATACAGGATAACAGCTATTTACATAGCATTTACATTTCATTAGGTATTATAAATAATGTAGATATGATTTAAACCATATGGGAGGATGTGTGTAGGTTATATGCAAATACTACACCATTTTATATAAGGGACTTGAGCATCTGTGGACTTCGGTATCCTTAGGGGCCCTGGAACCAATTCTCTTTGGATTGTAAGGGACATCCGTGATTCAAAACAAACAAGGGATGGTTATTTAGTAATAGTCACTTTATGGAGAATGAAATTAAAGCCAACTAACTCTTACCAGCACATGCCTATGGCTGGTAGGACTCCGTGATTTTCAGTATATTTTGGTTTTACCTTCAGCTGGATGCCAGCTGGATTATGAGGCAATATAAATTCAGAGCCTTCTATTCAGAAAACTCATTCATCTGCTCATCCTGCACACACCTGTAATTTTATCAGGTGACATTAGAGGGGTCACAGACTCAAAGAGAATGCTCTGTAACTTGCTCCTCAAGAGAACTTTCTGCATTTGATGGAAATGTTCTATCTGTGTTGTCCAATACAGAAGCCACCAGCCACATGTGGCTATTCAGCTCTTGAAATGTGGTTAATGCAACTGAGAAATTAAATTTTAAATTTTGTTCAATCTTTATTAATTTAAATTTAAATAGCCATATGTGGCTGGCACATACAACATCGGACAATACAGATCTGTAAAGTACTACATTCACGTTTTTCAAACTTTCTGATCGTAGTTCAGTAAAAGAAGCAGATTTTATGTGGCACTGCCGCACAGGCACACAGCATGCGCATGACACCCCCCACCCTGCCTCCCACCCAGTATCATCCAAGTTTCACCAAATAGTACTTAGCCTCACTGTAGGCGCTGCACACTGGTATTTTCTGTTTTATTCTGTTCTATTTCATTTTAAAGGTGCTGGTTATCACCTACTAAATTGATTTCATGACTCACGAGTGGGTTATGATCCCCAGCTTGAAGAATAATTGCCTTGCATGACCTGCCCCCGACTTTCAGCCATGTCTTTTATTCCATCCACTGTCTCTGCATCTGGCCTCCTTGCAGGGGCTTTGCCATTGCTGTTACCTCTGCCTGGTGATGCTTTTCCCTCCAACATCTCATGGCTGCATTTCTCACATCCTCGGGTTTCTGCTCAAATGTTCACTAGAGATTTCCTCTGTAACCATCCTACTCTAGGGAGCTCCCCATCCCTCTTTTCCTGCTTTGATTTTCTTTTCCTTCCTTCCTTCTGTCCTTCTGTCGTTTTGTTTTTTGTTTCTTTTCTACACAGTTTCAGTCTGTCGCCCAGGCTGGAGTGCAGTGACACAATCTCAGCTCACTGCAACCTTCGCCTCTTGGGTTCCAGCGATTCTTGTGCCTCAGCCTCCTGAGTAGCTGGTATTACAGGTGCCCACCACCACGCCCAGCTAATTTTTTATATTTTTAGTAGAGACAGGGTTTTGCCATGTTGGCCAGGCTAGTCTCAAACTCCTGACCTCAAGTGATCCGTCCACCTCAGCCTCCCAAAGTGCTGGGATTACAGGCGTGAGCCACCACACCTGGTTCCTATCCCTCTTTTTCTGCTTTGGTTTTCTTTATAACAATATTCGCTATAGGTCATATATATTGTGTTTATTGTTTGCTTTCTCAACTAGAATATCAGACCAATGAGGGCAGGGTCTTAATTTTGTTGGCTGGTATGACCTGGCACCTAGAATAGGCTTTCATAAATATTAGTTGAATAAATGAACAGACACCGCCTGATGTCTTTACACAGATTAATTACTCACTGTGGTTCATATGCTGAGAGGCCTGTGGAATCTTTCACTTGTTTCTCTGGAGACATTGAATTAATACCAGAGGCCTGGCATGGGGTCTGGGCACTAGGAGGTAGGTATGCTAGAGGAGATGGCAGACAAGGCCCTGTCCTCTTGGAAAGTTTAATCGCCTTTGGGGCTCTGCTGTGTCTGGGTCTGTGTGAAGCAGGTTCACTGCACACTGGTCACCACTGAGTCTGAATCCAGTGAGATAGAACACCCCAACGTAACAACCTCGCCTCGTAACAAACAAGTTTCATGAGTTGGATTTATTCCTTACATATAGGCAGCGAGGGACCACAGGAGCCTAGGATTCATTGCAAACCATTCTTCTGTAGTTCAGGAAAGTTACCTGGGGTGGATGGAGGCTTGTTTGTGTATAACCCACTTGGATGGCAGCTGAGGGACCCCAGAAAGCAGCCTGACCAAGATTTTATATCCTAGTGCAATGTGCCTTGCTGGGCTAAAGCATTGAAGGACATCCTGTTTCTAGGGGGAGCTGGAAAAGAGCCTGGGCTGTTCTGGCCCTTTATGTCAGTATGTTGCATTCCTAGCTTTTTTTTTTTTTTGGGTGGGGTGGGGTGTTTGGGATAGGGTCTGGCTCTGTCACCCAGGCTGGAATGTCGTGGTGTGATCTTGGCTCACTGCAACTCTGCCTCAGCCCCCTGAGTAGCTGGGACCACAGGCACTTGCCACTGTGCCTGGCTAATTTTTGTATTTTTAGTAGAGACAGGGTTTCATTGTGTTGGCCAGGCTGGTCTCGAACTCCTGACCTCAAGTAATTCACCTGCCTCAGCTTCCCAAAGTGCTGGGATTACAGGCATGAGCCACCATGCCCCGCCTCCCTACATTTCTTTATGGTTTTCCTTTACATTTTCCTCTCAACTTAGAAATAAAATGGCTAACCAAAAAAATGATTTTCTCTTTGGTGTTGAGTGGCAAGCTTTATGAGAATTGAGTAATGAGCCTGGTGGATAGCTCTCTAATTATAATGATACCTTGACATTTTTATCAGCCAATCTTTATACTTGATGGTTTCTGCTTACACTATGGATATGTTGGTGGTTCTTGGATCCATTTTGTAGGCACAATGTATTTCTATTCTTGGCCTGTTTTCCCTCGTCTTTTCCTTATAGTCAGATTTATTACTCTTTGGGATTTCCCCCCGTCCTTCATCAGAATAGTGCTATCTTTTTTTCTCTTTTTTTGAGTGTATGCATTAAATATAATATGGGTCGAGTACAGTGGCTCACACCTGTAATCCCAGCACTTTGGGAGGCCGAGGTGGGCGGATCACTTGAGGTCAGGAGTTTGAGACCAGCCTGGTCAACATAGTGAAACCCCATCTCCACTAAAAAATACAAAAATTAGCTGGGCATGGTGGCACACGCTTGTAACCCTAGCTACTCGGGAGGCTGAGGTGGGAGAATCGTTTGAACCCAGGAAGCGGAGGTTGCAGTGAGCCAAGATCATGCCACTACACTCCAGCCTGGGCAACAGAGCAAGACTGTCTTTAAAAAAAATGTTATACATACATACATACATACATACATACATACATACATACATACATACATATATATATATGAATAGCTTTATTTTTTTCAGCAGGAAGTGTTCAAAGAGACCGTATTATAATATTAGGCTTCCTTGTAATAAACAGTGGCACTGGCCTAATAAGTCCAGAACATCTGAGCCATCTCTTTAGATTATATTGTACACTGGAGCTTTTAGCTGCATAAATTTTACAGTATATCATCTGACACTATTTGTGGTAAATATCCCCTAGTGATTAACTCATCATTTTATGATCTTGTGCACAGAAGGAGCATTGGCAAAGCTACTTCCCACACATCGAACTGAAATGTTAAGAATCTTGGTTTGTATCTCAAAGTTTTTTTTTTGTTTTTTTTTTTTTTTTGAGACAGGATCTTACTCTGTTGCCCAGGCTGGAGTGGCACTATCCTAGCTCGCTGCAACCTCGACCTCTCAGGCTCAAGCAACCCTCCCACCTCAGCTTCTAGAGTAGCTGGGACTACAGGCACAGTTCACCATGCTTGGATTATTTTTATTTTTTGCAGAGACAAGGGCTCACCATATTGTTCAGGCTGGTCTTGAACTCCTGGGTCCAAGTGATCCACCCACCTTGGCCTCCCAAAGTGTTAGGATTACAGGCGTGAGCCACTGTGCCCAGCCAGAACTATTTTATTAATTTTAGTTAAGCTGTTCTGAAGAAGTTGTATGGATTTTCATAAAACAGCCTTATATAAGAACTACCGTTTTAGGGAGAAGTGAAGAGAGTGAGGACTGAACCACCCAGCAGGGAAGTTCAGAGAATGGGCCCTGAAGTCAAAGAGAAGCTGAATGGCCATGGTTAATAAATATTTACAGCTAAGTCTGGACTGCAACTCTGCAGTTTTGTTAGCATAAACGTTTCATAACCACGAAATATATGATGAGCAGACAATGGGTGTGGTATACAGCAAGATGAAACCTCGATTCCCACCTGTTAGGGATGTACTGTCTGCAATCATCACATTTTTTCATTGAGTTAATGCAGTGGTCCCAGCTGGGATTTTGACTATTCTCGATGGATGGAACCCATGGGAGGGTGACAAGGGTCCCTCCGGCCCTGAGGAATGCCTATTGATTTGCAGCCTCAAATGAAACTAAAGCTAATAAGTTTATGTTTTAAATAATGGATAGTTAGCTCTGCAAACAAATGAACTGGATCCTCCCACCTGGAAAAGTCTCTCTGGAGGTACAAGGAGAGTGCTTGGGGAAGTGCATTAATTCCCTCCACTGTCATCACAGGCACAGAAAGCCCTGCTTCACTGCTCTTCTCACTCAGGGGATGGAGGGGAAGATTGCACTGATGCAAGTATTGACTCAGAGGCTAATTAGAAGAAAGGGGGATGGGTGGGTGGGGGTGGGAAGTGTGTGCACTGGGGCTGTAGCAGTAGATTATGGGGTGGGGGTGAGCAGATCGGAGAGGAAAGCTCCCCTGGTGGGAAGATGGTGTCCCATGACAGGAGCTTTTAGATTTCTAGAGCCATGCAATTTCTTGCTACCCACAGTGTGGGCCGTAGGCCAGCCGCATAGCATCACTACCTGAGAGCTTGTTAGAAATGCAGAATCCTAGGCCCTGCTTCAGAACTTACAGATGCGGACCTGCATTTTAACAAGATCTCCAGGTGATTTGTGTGCATGTTAAAGTTTGAGAAGTACTGACTTAACACTTTCCTTTTAATACATTTACAGAACCTTGGTCAAACATTGAATGTTAGTGATTTATAAAGCAGATGAATAAGTAATCCAAATATATACTGGTTTAAGTCTGTTCTCCATGTTTTGAGGAAGGAAGGGCTGAATAACAATAACATCAATAATAATGCAGATTTCCTGGGGATGGAGTTGGTGGGAGTTTTAATAGAATTTTGGCCATCATACATCAGTACCAGTGTGAACTCAGAGTGGTGCTTCTCAAACACGTGTAGGCATCACAATTACTGGAGGGTTTGTTAAAACACAGATTGCTGGATCCCCTCATGGCTCCCCTGCTACCAAGAGTTGATTGAGTGGATTTGAGGTGGGGTTTGAGAATTTGCATTTCCTAACAAGTTTCCAGATGCTGCTGCTGCTATTGGTCTGGGGACCGTACTTTGAGAATCACCCTCCTCAAGTATAATTCTCATCATGGCAATTGCATGACACTTGTTTGTGCTATCCCTCCCCCATGAAGTCCATGTCCTATAGCCAAGCTTGGCCTCCTCTCCTGCCAGGCCTCTCTCCATGCCCCTTTACTACTGATTCTGCAAATGTCATCCAAGATCCGGGTATACCTGTGGATGCCCAGGATCCACACTTTCGATCTCTTGAATTGGAATCCCTGGGAGTGGGGCACAGGATAGTTCATAAGCATCCCAAGGTGACTCCAAGGCACACATGTGATAAAACAACCACTGCCCTGTGTATTCCTTCCCCAATACATTGTATTCTTAGTTTCTAGGGCATGTCTTGTACTTTCTTTCCCCTTTGTCACTTTTCTTGATCCACTGCTGCACCAGGAGTGCTCCCTCACACTTACTCCCCTGCTAGAAATCTTCTGTCCTTCTAGGTCTTCCTCAGAAGCTACTTCCTCCTTGAGACTCTCCTTAGCTGAATGGACTCCCTCCCTTCCCTCCCTCCCCTCCCTTCCCCCTTTCCCCCCTCCCCCCTTCCCCCCCTCCTCTCCCTCCCTCCCTCCTTCCTTCCTTCCCTCCTTTCTTTCCTTCTTCCTTTCTTCTTAGAGATTGTGTTTTTTCTTTTAAAAATGAGATGGCAGTCCTTATATTTTGATCAACTGTAAGATGCCTTTTTCACCCCTCCCTATGCTCACTCCTCTTTCTGAGTTGAATTTACAATATATGGCATGTATACAATAGATAATGAGGTATAGTCAGTGGATGTTGCCATGAAAAAGAAAAAAAAGGAAGGCTTATGACTTTTTAAAGTTTTTAAGTGTTAAAAACTCAATGGCGTATCACACAAAATGGCACTGCCCTTATGGCTGTTGTGTATGTGATCATAGCCCCTACCAATTGTATAGGTTTCTGGATGGCTGAGCCTGTCTTAAATCCATCAATTTGGTTCCCCCTGTACCTGGCCTATATTAAGTACACAAGAAGTGTTAGTTGAGTGATGTAAATGCGATTGATTTATCTGTGTGTGGTGCTGAAACAATTTCTTTGCTGGTTTGGCCTTTTATTACATGTGAAAATATGCGAGGACTTCAGAAATTTCATGGGAAATGTGTATATAAAAAACTAT
Organism: Homo sapiens; assembly: GCF_000001405.40. Taxonomy (NCBI): domain Eukaryota; kingdom Metazoa; phylum Chordata; class Mammalia; order Primates; family Hominidae; genus Homo; species Homo sapiens. The sequence continues at coordinate 33,423,140 of NC_000011.10, forward strand.
GCATACATTTCAACTTTTTTGCACAAAAATAAACTCATACTAACTTGTTGTAACATGTTTCAATAGGATCTAGTTTGAGACACTAAAAGGGTTAGGACATCAATTTGAAAAAAGCCCCTATCAGAGCCACATGAATTCTGCTAAAATTGAGGCAAGAACACACATCAGATTTATGGTAAAGCTTGGGTGGAGGGGTGGTGAAATCATTTATATTTTATGAAAAGTTGATGGGGACAATGCCTCATAGAAATCAGCAGTTTATAAATGGATAACTGGTTTTAAGAAGGAATGAGGTGATGGTAAAGATGCAACTTGCAGTGGCAGAGCATTCACATTAATCTGTGAGGAAAAATTAATCTTATTCATGCCCTCATTGAAGAGGACTGATGATTAACAGCAGAAACAGTAGCCAACACCATAGACTTCTCATTTTGCTCAGCTTACACAAATCTGACTGAAAAATTAAAGTTGAACAAACTTTCTACTCAATGGGTGCCAAATTTGTTGCACCCAGGTCAGCTGCAGATAAGAGCAGAGCTTTCAGTGGAAGTTTTATACAAGTGAGATCCAGATTCTAAAGTCATTCTTTGAAGAATTGTAACAGAAGGCTGAGTGCGGTGGCTCATGCCTGTAATTCGAGCACTTTGGGAGGCCAAGGCAGGAGAATTGCTTCAGCCTAGGAATTTGAGACCAGCCTGGGCAACATAGCGAGATGCTGTCTCTACAAATAATAATAAAAGCTAGCTGGGCATGGTGGCATGTGCCTGTGGTCTCAGCTAGTCTGCAGGCTGAGGCAGGAGGATTGCCTGAGCCCAGGAGGTTGAGGCTGCCTTGAGCTGTGATCATGCCAGTGCATTCCAGCCTTGGTGACAGAATGAGGCTCTGTCTTGGAAAAAAAAAAAAGAATTGGAAGAATTGTAACAGAGGATGAAACATGGCTTCACCAGTACAATCCTGAAGACAAAGCACAATCAAAGCAATGGCTAGCAAGAGGTGGAGGTGGTCCAGACAAAGCAAAAGCAGATTGATCAAGAGCAAAGGTCATGGCAACGTTTTTTTGTGATGCTCAAGGCAGTTTGCTTATTGACTTTCTGGGCCAGAGAATGATAACATCTGCTTGTTATGAGAGTTTTGAGAAAGTTGGCCAAAGCTTTAGCAGAAAAATACCTGTGAAAGCTTTATCTGAGAGTCCTTCTTCACCACAACAAGTTCATTCCTCTCATCAAGCAAAGGCAGCTTTGCAAGAGTTTCTATGGGAAACCATTATACATCCACCTTGCAGTCTTAATTTGGCTCCTTCTGCCTGTTTTTGTTTCCTAATCTTAAAAAAAATCTTTAGAGGGCACTCATTTTTCTTCATTTAATAATGTAAAAATACAGCATTGACATGGTTAAATTCCTAGGACCCTCAGTTCTTTAGAGATGCACTGAATGACTGATGTCACCACTTACAAAAGTGTCTTGACCTTGATAGAGCTTATGTTAAGAAATAAATTTTGTATTTTTATCTTTTAATTTCATTTTTACCATGAACTTTTTGAGTCCCCTCATACATGCTCTACTCTGGGTACTGATGAGAAGGGCAAACAGAAGAGAATAAACCAGGAGAATGATGATCTTTGTTCAAGTTTTAAATACAGAGTATTGAAATATACTCCTCTCCAAGTATCATCACAGATGCAGCCTGCTTCTGTAGAATCCTGATGGCTGTGGACTCTGTGTGGTGAGGAGGTGAAGAATGAGGTTGGGAGAGGTGCTGCCTTTCTGGCCTCTGTACAGAGGGCATGAGGAAAGCTAAACTCCTCCAGTCAAGAGACCATGGGTCTCCAGTATCTCCAAATGCCCAGCACTTAGAATAGAAAGTTGGCAGGGAGTCAGTGCTAGTTAAATGAATGAACAAATAAAACCTTGATTTTGATTCCCTTTCTAGATACCAAACTTTGATCTCTTTATGTCTTATTTTATTCATTTGTAGGGTGGAGATGTTAATATGTGCTCTAATTCCATCTCAAGGAGCTTTTCAGAGCCTAAGATGAGTTAATTGATTTGAAGATTTGTATATACGTTAGTATCTAGAGCAGAAGAGAACTTACCTTGTGTTTCTTACAGCTCTTCTTCTTGGTCCTCAAGTCCTATTTTAAAATTTTGTCAATTAGAGGACTCTTGGTTCTCTTGGTTGACTCATTCTCTGCTGATTTGTTCTCTGTACTTGCAGCAAATAAAGTGCAGTCATTGAGAATGTTCCTGTGTCACTGTGATGTATCAAGGGATCTTCATGTTAATATCTGTTTCTCTGACAACTGTGTTTTATACTTTGTACTGTAGCTTTCATTGGAGAAGCCCTGGGCTCATAAGAGTGATTTGTTGTGGCATTTCCTTATGGAACATAAGCTTTGAAATATACTTGAGATAAATATTCATGGGAGACATCCAAATGCAGTAATGAGAGTACAATGAAGACAGCATTTGGACTTGGAAAACCTGAGTTCAAGTCCTCTCACTTGCTGTACGTAGATGAAAACATCTGCTTATTTCCGCTATTATTAGGAAAGGCTGGAATTCTATTTCACTTTGCATCACACGTCATATGGATGGAGAAACCCAGCAAACACTACTTTAGCCAAATAAAGTAATCAAAGATAACATCACCAGTAATGAGATGTGTCAACATGTTCTCCTTATTTTGATGCACAGAGCAAAAGGCAAAACATCACTTCTTTGGGATTTTTACTGAAAATGCACAAGTTCAGTCTAAGCACGAGAAAACACCAGACAAACCCAAATTAAGGGCAGTTCTACAAAATACCTGACTAGTCAGTCCTCTTCACAGATGGCAAGGTCATGAAAGACAAAGAAAGACTGAGGAACTGTCACAGATTGGTGGAGGCTAAGGAGACTTGAGAACTAAATGCAATGTGGGACCCTGGATTGGATTCTGCATCAGAAAAAGGACATTAGAGACAAAGTTAGCAACATTCAAATAAGGTCTAGAGTAGTTAATATAAATTTATCAGTGTTATATTCTTGGTTTTGGTAATTGTATTATGGTTATGTAGGATATTAACAGTAGAGGAAGCCAAGTGAAGCGTATTGAACTCTCTGCACTCTCTGCTTTGGTAATTTTCTATGAGTCTGAAGTTTTTTCAGAAGTTAAAAACATGATACTGGGACACATGAAAGCTTTGTGAAATATCCTGTTTTATGGGAAGTAGAGGGGGTTTCATTTCTTGCATATGAATTTAGGAGCTAGAAAGACCAATTTTCTGAAGCTAAAGGAGTCAAACTGTATCTTGACTGATGGAGTTCCTGACCATAAATTGAGAGCAAGGAGGGTTAACTCTTTGAGATCCCCAGAGGCCCTCCTGGTGCACAGGTGGTTGAGTACCTGGAGGTGATAGTATTTTGGCTGTATCATCTTTCACCTGGTCACCTGGGCAGAGCTGTGGGGCTATAATGATGATTACCCTTAGATTGAAAGTTTGTTATGTGCTAGAATCTGGGTACCAACTGCTTGTCACCATTAATCTTAATAATATTTTTGAAAAGCAGGTAGGTGATAGTTCCCTTATTTTAGGATACATCTCAGAGAGATTCATTTGCCCAAGAGCACTTGGATGGAGTGGAAATCTGACTGCAAGCTCAGGTTCTGACAGCTGTGCTGATCTTTTCTCCTTTGCCCTTGGTGGGTGCTCCCCTGAGGGCCTCCAGATCTGGCCCCTCCATTATCATTTATATCTGTGCTTGATAGAAAATTAGGAATCAGTGTTTTCCTACCCCCTATTATCTGTTTAAGCATAGACTAGCATTTTATGTAGGCTCTTTGGGGCTATTAATTGGTTTCTGTGGTCAAATGTGTTTTGGGGAAACTTAGGGATAAATATTAAATTCAGTAGCTCTCCACCTTTACCCAGGCAACTAAATGGGCGGTAGAAAACCACACGACCAGGCTCATTAGTCTCATCAGTTTATACCATGAACCTCAAGTGGGCCTTTGGTGCTGCCCAGCAATGCCACTCTATTTCCCTAGCACAGTCATCTGCCCATTCTCTAGGGTGACTGCTTCATACCTTCTCTTCCTCACAAAATCTCCCCATCTCCCAAGAAAAAACAGGTAGAAGAGGATTTCCACAAGCCCTTACCACTGCCTTAACCTGGCTGCCTGAATCCTGCCTTCTCTCCCTTTGAGGATGAACCATCTCTGATCCCTTTGTGGGAGACAATATCCCCTCTCAGGCTGTCGGGGTCCTCCTGCCAGCAGTTCCCCCTGCTCAGTATGCTCCTCTCCCATCATAGATATGCATGCTGATTTGTCTTCCATTTCTCCATGTTAGGAAAGCCCTCCCTTGGCCATGCATCCCCCTTCGCTGCTATACTCCCTCCGTCCCTATTTCTCCTTCCTCTTTTTCAGCAAACCCCCTTGAAATAATTTCCTTACAGGCTGTCTCCGGTTCCTCACTTCCCAATTCTTTCTCTTTTTTTCTTAATTGAGGTGAAATCCACTTACCATAGAAGTCATCATTTTGGTGTTTTAAAGTGTACAACTCAGTAGCATTTATAATGTTATGCAGCCACTACATCTATCCACTTCTGAAACCTTTTCATTATTCTGAAAGCAACCCCCTTACTAGTTAAGTAGTCACCCTCTCTTCTCTCCCCTGCAGTGTTTGGCAACCACAAATTGGCATTCCGTGTCTATGGATTTACTTGTTCTGTATATTTTATATAATTAGAGCCATACAATATGTGAACTTAATTCATTTAGCATAATGTTTGCAAGGTTCATCCATGTTGTAGCATGCATCAGAATTTCATTTCCTTTTATTGGTTAGTAATGTTTCATTGTATGTATCTAGCCCATTTTGCTTATCAGTTCGTCCACTGATAGACATTTGGTTGTTTCCACCTTTTGGTTATGGTGACCAGTGCTGCTATAAATATGAATGTACAAGTTTTTGTGTGGACATATGTTTTCAGTTCTCTTGGGTGCATACCTAGGGGTGGAATTGCTGGGTCATATGGTAGTTCTGTTTCACTTTTAAAGGAGCCACCAAACTGTTTGCAGCTTGGACCAAGTGGCTGGGCCAGTTTACATTACCACCGGTAATGTACAAGTGTTCTGATTTCCTTATATTTCCTTACCTCTTTGTCAACGTTTATAATTTCCTGTTTTTTTAAAAATTATACTTTAAGTTCTAGGGTACATGTGCACAACGTGCAGGTTTGTTACATATGTATACATGTGCCATTTGGTTTGTTGCACCCATCAACTCGTCATTCACATTAGGTATTTCTCCCAATGCTCTCCCTCCCCATCCCCCCGCCCACGACAGGACCTAGTTTGTGATGTTCCTCGCCCTGTATCCAAGTGTTCTCACTGTTCAGTTCCCACCTATGAGTGAGAACATGTGGTGTTTGGTTTTCTGTCCTTGCGATAGTTTGCTCAGAGTGATGTTTTCCAGCTTCATCCATGTCCCTACAAAGGACATTAACTCATCCTTTTTTATGGCTGCATAGTATTCCATGGTGTATATGTGCCACATTTTCTTAACCCAGTCTATCATTTATGGACGTTTGAGTTGGTTCCAAGTCTTTGCTATTGTGAATAGTGCTGCAATAAACATATGTGTGCATGTGTCTTTATAGTAGCATGATTTATAATCCCTCGGGTATATACCCAGTAGTGGGATCGCTGGGTCAAATGGTATCTCTAGTTCTAGATCCTTGAGGAATTGCCACACTGTCTTTCACAATGGTTGAACTAGTTTACACTCCCACCAACAGTGTAAAAGTGTTCCTATTTCTCCACCCTAGTGGGTGTGAGGTGGTATCTCGTTTTGTTTTTTGTTTTTGAGGCAGAGTTTTGCTCTTGTCACCCAGGCTGGAGTGCAATGGTGCAATCTCGACTCAGTGCAACCTCCGCCTCCCAGGTTCAAGCGATTCTCCTGCCTCAGCCTCCCAAGTACCTGGGATTACAGGCACCCACCACTACCCGCTGCTAATTTTTGTATTTTTGGTAGAGATGGGGTTTCACCATGTTGGCCAGGCTGGTCTCAAACTCCTGACCTCAAGTGATCCGCCCACCTCGGCCTCCCAAAGTGCTGGGATTATGGGTGTGAGCCACCGTTCCCAGCCCTCATTGTGGTTTTGATTTGCATTTCCCAAGTGGCGAATTGACCATTTGTATATCTTCAGAGAAATGTCTATTCACATTTCTGCCCATTTAAAAATCGGGTTGCTTGTCTTTTTGTTCTTGAGTTTCCCATTCCCTCTTGAACCCACTCCAATCAGTCTTTCCTCCTTACTATTCCAGGGTTGCTCTTATCGAGGTCACCAGTGACCTCCCAATCTGTCAAATCCAGTGGTCCATTTTCGGTCCTCAATGTATTGCCCTCACGGCAGCATTTAAGGAAGGATCACTTGTTCTCCGTGGAGCTGCTTTCCAGCTGCCATGATTTCATGGTTCTTCTCAGTCTCCTTTGTGGATCCCTCTTCATCTTCATGACCTCTAAACATTAACCTTCCTCAGGGTTCAGCCTAGACCTCTTTCCTTTGTATCTCTTCTACCCTGAACGTCCCCCTCCTTCCATTGTTCAGGCCAGGAATCTTGGTGTTGTCTTTGATCTCTCTCTTTCCCCTACTCCACCCGGCTCTGCCTTCATATATCTGGACTTGGATCCCTGCTCACAGCCTCCACTGCAGTCATCTGGACCCAAATCACTGATTTGTGAGTGGAATCCTGAAGTAGCCTACTAATTGGTCTCCCTCTTCCTGCTTCTTCTCCTACCCCTCACCATCTCTTCTGTATGAAACAGCAACCAGAGAGATCCTGTTCAAACCCATCAGATCATGTGGCAGCTCTGCTCTGCCCTCCCTTCCTTCCTTCCTTCCTTCCTTCCTTCCTTCCTTCCTCCCTTCCCTCTCTCCTCCGTTCCTCCCTTCCCTCCCTCCCTCTCTCCTCCCTCCCTCCACCAGGATTTTAAGTTTGTTATGATAATGTTCATTATGAATCTCTAAGAAGAGAATATTTTTGCAGTATTTCCCCACCTACCTCCCTTCTTTCCCTCCCTCTCTCCCTCCCTCCCTTCCTTTCATCCTTCCCTCCCTCCCTCCCTCTCTCCCTCCCTCCCTCTCTCCCTCCACCTATAGGACCTATTTTTCCCAACATATTTTTGGGAAATGCTTGAACAGACTCTTTTCTGTAATAAGTCATATTTGGGGTGATGTAGGTGGGGTGAATGTTATATAATCTGAGTCTTTTTCCTTTGACTAATAAAACATTTCAACATGTAGGGAAACTGTACATCCAAAAGGCCTGAACTTGCCCTGAGGCTATCCTTTGATAACTCATTAGGTAAGATCTGGCCAATTATTTCTTCTTCAATTTGAAAAGCGATTTTACATTTAAATATTTTTGCAGAGTTTCATTTTTATAAGCAAAGTATGGTGAAGCTTTGAAGCAGTTTCTCCCAGAGCTGTGGAAACAATTTAAGTCTGCCCTTTCTCTGCTTTTGTCTTGGTTCCCTAATGGATCTCTGGGATGTCAGCATCCTGTAGAGTCATGTAGGCAGCCATGGTCATGTTCTAGGACCAAACTTACCTCAACCTGTCAGAAGCAGCCCTGGGAGGGCAGGAGGTATTTCTGTTTTGTTCACCACTGCAGACCCAAACATATAGCACCGTGCTGTTCACATTGTAGGTGGCCTATTAATATTTGTTGAATCAACTTTTGAAGTAGCACTGTGTCCGGAATTGGTGGGTTCTTGGTCTCACTGACTTCCAAGAATGAAGCCGTGGACCCTCGCGGTGAGTGTTACAGCTCTTAAGGTGGCGCGTCTGGAGTTTGTTCCTTCTGATGTTCAGATGTGTTCGGAGTTTCTTCCTTCTGGTGAGTTCGTGGTCTCGCTGGCTCAGGAGTGAAGCTGCAGACCTTTGCGGTGAGTGCTACAGCTCTTAAGGCAGCACATCTGGAGTTGTTCGTTCCTCCTGGTGGGCTCGTGGGCTCGCTGGCTTCAGGAGTGAAGCTGCAGATCTTCGCGGTGAGTGTTACAGCTCATAAAAGCAGTGTGGACCCAAAGAGTGAGCAGTAGCAAGATTTATTGCAAAGAGCGAAAGAGCAAAGCTTCCACAGTGTGGAAGGGGACCCGAGCGGATTGCCACTGCTGGCTCTGGCAGCCTACTTTTATTCTCTTATCTGGCCCCACCCACATCCTGCTGATTGGTAGAGCCGAGTGGTCTGTTTTGACAGGGCGCTGATTGGTGTGTTTACAATCCCTGAGCTAGACACAAAGGTTCTCCATGTCCCCATCAGATTAGTTAGATACAGCGTATCGACACAAAGGTTCTCCAAGGCCCCACCAGAGTAGCTAGATATAGAGTGTCGATTGGTGCACTCACAAACCCTGAGCTAGACACAGGGTGCTGATTGGTGTGTTTACAAACCTTGAGCTAGATACAGAGTGCTGATTGGTGTATTTACAATCCCTGACCTAGACATAAAGGTTCTCCAAGGCCCCACCAGACTCAGGAGCCCAGCTGGCTTCACCCAGTGGATCCCGCACCGGGGCTGCAGGTGGAGCTGCCTGCCAGTCCCAGTGCTGTGCACCTGCACTTCTCAGCCCTTGGGTGGTCGATGGGACTGGGCGCCGTGGAGCAGGGGGCGGTGCTCATCGGGGAGGCTCGGGCTGCACAGGAACCCAGGGAGGCCGGGGAAGGCTCAGCCATGGTGGGCTGCAGTCCCAAGGACTGCCCCACGGGAAGGCAGCTAAGGCCCGACGAGAAATCGAGCTCAGCGCTGGTGGGCTGGCACTGCTGGGGGACCCAGTACGCCCTCCGTAGCCACTGGCCCGGGTGCTAAGTCCCTCATTGCCCGGGGCCGGCATGGCAGGCCGGCTGCTCCGAGTGCGGGGCCTGCCAAGCCCACGCCCACCCGGAACTCCAGCTGGCCCACAAGCTCTGCACGCAGTCCCGGTTCCCGCTCGCACCTCTCCCTCCACACCTCCCCGCAAGCTGAGGGAGTGGGCTCTGGCCTTGGCCAGCCCAGAAAGGGGCTCCCACAGTGCAGCGGTGGGCTGAAGTGCTCCTCAAGTGCCGCCAAAGTAGGAGCCCAGGCAGAGGAGGCGCCGAGAGCAAACGAGGGCTGTGAGGACTGCCAGCACACTGTCACCTCTCAGCACTAGGGAAATCTCACTTTACTTGACCCTGACTCATGGTGACTTACAATTAGGATTTGGTTTTGGTAAATTTTATTTGAATATGTGTTTGAGAATGCAGTACCAAATGGGTTTCTTAAATGGATATGGGTTTTTTTTTCTTGTAAATTTGTTTAAGTTCTTTGTAGATTCTGGATATTAATTTTGTGTGTTCTTTCTGGGCATGATGATAATTTTGTCCTCTGTAAAGCTGCTGAGATTCTGAAGGGAAATAAACATATCTTTTCCTCCTATTTCCATGATCTAAACTGAAGACAAAAATATGGGCATTCTTCAAGACAATTCTAAGCAAAAAGAACAAAGCTGGAGGCATCATGCTACCTGACTTCAAACTATACTACAAGTCTACAGTAACCAAAACAGCATGGTACTGGTACCAAAAGAGACATATAGACCAATGAAGCAGAACAGAGACCTCAGAAATAACACCACACATCTACAACCATCTGATCTTCAAAAAACCTGACAAAAATAAGCAACGGGGAAAGGATCTCCTGTTCAGTAAATGGTGCTGGGAAAACTGGTTAGCCATATGCAGAAAACTGAAACTGGACCCCTTCCTTATACCTTATGCAAAAATTAACTCAAGATGGATTAAACACTTACATGTAAAACCTAAAACCATAAAAACCCTAGAAGAAAACCTAGGCAATACCATTCAGGACATAGGCATGGGCAAAGACTTCATGACAAAAACGCCAAAAGCAATTGCAACAAAAGCCAAAATTGACAAATGGGATCTAATTAAATTGAGCTTCTGCACAGCAAAAGAAACTATCATCTGATCATCAGAGTGAATAGGCAACCTACAGAATAGGATAAAATTTTTGCAATCTACTCATCTGACAAAGGTCAGAACTTACAAGGAACTTCAACATATTTACAAGACAAAAACATATTTACAAGAAAAAAAGCCCATCAAAAAGTGGGCAAAGGATATGAACAGACACGTATCAAAAGAAGACATTTACATGGCCAACAAATGTGAAAAAAGGCTCAACGTCACTGATCATCAGAGAAATGCAAATCAAAACCACAATGAGATACCATCTCATGCCAGTTAGAATGATTATTAAAAAGTCAGGAAACAATAGATGCTGGTGAGGTTGTGGAGAAATAGGAACGCTTTTACACTGTTGGTGGGAATGTAAATTAGTTCCACTATTATGGAAGACAGTATGGTGATCCCTCAAGGACCTAGAATCAGAAATACCATTTGACCCAGCAATCCCATTACTGGATATATACCCAAAGGAATATAAATCATTCTGCTATAAAGACACATGCATACATACATTTATTGCAGCACTATTTACAATAGCAAAGACATGGAACCAACCCAAATGCCCATCAATTATAGACTGGATAAAGAAAATGTGGCACATATACACCATGGAATACTATGCAGCCATAAAAGGAATGAGATCATGTTCTTTGCAGAGACTTAGATGAAGCTGGAAGCCATCATCCTCAGCAAACTAACACAGCAACAGAAAACCAAACACCACATGTTCTCACTCATAAGTGGGAGTTGAACATTGAGAACACATGGACATAGAGAGGGGAACAACACATACCATGGCCTGTTATGGGGGTCAGGGGTGAGGGGAGGGAACTTAGAGGATGGGTCAATAGGTGGAGCAAACCACCATGGCACATGTATACCCATGTAACCTGCACGTTCTGCACATGTATCCTGCTTATTTTTTTTAGAAGAAATAAAGCCCCCCCCGCCACCAAAAAAAAAAGAATATGGTATTCTTAGAAGGATTCTTTAGGTAGTTTGAACAGTTTGTGATACACAGATTTTTTTAAAAAGATTCTACTGGGTATCTGATATGGTGGAGATAATTGAATCATGGGGGCAGTTTCTCCCATACTGTTCTCGTGGTAGTGAATAAGTCTCATGAGATCTGATGGTTTTATAAATGGGAGTTCCCCTGCACAAGCTTTCTTGCCTACTGCCATGTAAGATGTGACTTTGCTCCTCCTTTGCCTTCCACCATATTGTGAGGCCTCCCCAGCTATGTAGAACTGTGAGTCAATTAAATCTCTTTCTTTTATAAATTACCCAGTCCAAGGTGTGTCTTTATTAGCAGTGTGAGAACAGATGAATGCAGTAAACTGGTACCAGGAGTGGGGTTCTAAACCATGTGGACATATGTCCGTTGGATCTGCTGGGTCATATGGCCCAAGTGCAGAGCAGCTTGCACAAGCTAGCTGCACAAGAGAGCTAGCCTGGACCTGTTGCAGAGCCTTCTCCTGTTCTGGGCCCCACTCAAAACCAGCAGCCATTTGGGTCACTCAATAAATGGGCTGGAGTAAAACACCCAAATGAGGAATGTGTTGCCTCCAAAATCCAAATAGGCCTACTTGGCATTGTGCCTCTTTCTTGGTTGTAGGAGGGGCCAAATGTAGCAACTTATCCTTCACCTTAGAAGGAAGATCTTGACTGGCACCATGCCACTGGACCCCTAGAAATTTTACTGAGGTAGAAGTTCCCTGAATTTTAGTTAAACTTATTTCCCATCCTCTGGCATGCAAATGTCTCACCAATAAGTCCAGTGTGTTTGAAAGCCACCATTATAGGTATAAAGCAGCTTGTATAATCAGTGATGATCATTGATGAATTGTCCATGTATTCTTTTGAATTTGGAAAGATAGAATGATGTTGGCTCACAATGTAAAATGTAGCTTGATCATTTTATTTCCTAGAAATGATAAAAAGCTGTGCCATTTCTGGAAATTAGAAAAATAAAAGATTAATCATAAAAGTTCAGGATTTTTGTATTTCAGCCTGTTCTCATAAGCACAGAATGATGTGTGCCCTTTCCTATTAGATTTTCCAAGGGTGTTTCTGATTTGCAAAGTAAGAAGAATTGCCTTGTATCTAGCTAATTAACTTGGAGTACTAATGCCTGAGTATTAGTGTCTTGACTTGCTCTAATTAAGTTCAGCAAGTTCAAAGGCACCTGAAGAGGCATGGAATGGACATTTGCTTTATAGAAAGACAGTAAAACCAAAAATGAGAAAGCAAGTGGGGCTATAATTGAGACTCTGACATCAGTTCTTTTTTGGTAGTTTTTCATAGATGTCACCATAGTTACAGTCTCTGTAAATCACACATGTATTATAGTAGGGAAAATGAAGAGACTTGTTGCAAGTGAAGTAACCTAAATTTTTACAATTCTGTTGCTTTTAAAAAACATTTTGCTCCTACATATTTTATGGTTTTTCTATAAAAAAGATCATAGGACTGATATGCTAAATGTCTAGTGGCCAAATATAATGTTTATTGAAGATTTACCATGTGCCAGGCTCAGTCCTGAGTATTATCTAATTTAATTCCAAAGTAACCCTGAAGTAGTATATTTAGTAGTCTAGGCCTTCCAGAGAAACAGAACCAATAAGATATATATATATATATATATATATATATATATATATATATATATATATATATGTGTGTGTATATATATATATGTATATGTATATGTGTGTGTGTGTGTGTGTGTATAAAATATTAGATATAGTACATACATATTACAGTTGGTCATCAACTTCCATGGGTTCCACATTTGTGGATTCAACCAACTTCAGAGCTAAAATATCTAAAAAAAAAAAAAAAGTACAACAAAAAATGATACAAATAATAAACTAATAAGGTAGAACAACTATTTACATAGTATTATATTGTATTAAGTACTATAAGCGATCTGGAGATGATTTAAAGTATACGGGAAGATGTAATTGCATAGCTTATAAGCAAATGCTATGCCACTTTATATCTCAGGGACATGAGCATCTGGGGATTTTGGTACCTGCAGGGATCCTGGAACTGATCCCCCATAGATACTGAGGGAAGACCATAAAACGTAATATGCATAATACATATTATATACATAGCATATAATAAGGAACTGGCTCACGCAATTATGGAGATGAGAAGCCCAAGATCAGCAATTGGCAAGCTGCAGACCCAGGAGAGCCAATGGTATAATTTCCAGTCCAAGCCCAACTCTGAAGGCAAGAGACTACTGTCCCAGCTTGAAGGCAGTCAGAGAGAAAGAAGTCTTTCTTAGCCTTTTATTCTATTCAGACCCTCAATAGATTGGATGAGGCCAGCCCCTGCTGGGGGAGGGCAGTCTGCTTTATTTGGTCAAATGTTAATCTTATCCAGAAATGCCCGCACAGACACACTCAGGAAGAATATTTTACCAAATATCTGGGCACCCTGTGGCCCAGTCAGTTTGACACATACAATTAACTATTGCAGGTAGGTATTGTTTTTATTACTTTGTAGAAAGGAGGAAATGGAGGCATAGAATGGTTTAACAACTTGTTCAAGGTCACATGCTGGTAATGGTGGAGGCTGAACCCAAGCAAGCGCAGTCTGGCTCTTCAATTCCTCACTCTTAGTTGGTTCAGAAAATTACCTTTCAGATGAGAAAACTGAGATGATGGAGGAAGGGCAGGAAAGGGGAGAAGTGAAGGAGTCCAGTACTGGGCTAAGGACATTCAACTTGTTGGAGGCAGAGCTGGGATTTGAACCCAGGTCTTCTGACACCAGCCCTAGACCCCCAGGAGTCCTTCAGCACCAACGTGGGGTGTTCTCTGTATAATGGACATTGTGTTTGTGAAAGGAAAAAGGTTAACTTTTAGTTATACACCTGAATTATTTACTTAAGTACTCTATGCGGTAGTTATAGCTGTCTCATCTTGTCAGCATTATAATTTGTATTTGTAATATTCCAGCCCTTAAATATTCTCAGATGAGTTGGCCTGCTGGGATGAGTATGTTAATTATTTTAATAATGCTACCTTCCATTTCTAAATCATTTCAAACTTTTTAGAGTACTCTCATATGTACACATTATTTTAAAATGAATTAGCTTGACAAAGTGGCTTTACTCTGGGGTTGTAGCCTTTCGTGGTTGTGAATGGAAAAAAGGGCTTTTACTTCCTCTGAGCCAGGATTAAAAAAGAAAAAAATGAGTTATGAGAAGATGCTGGAAGAAACAGAAGTGTTTATTCAAGCAGCCTATCACTGAGAGGCAGCTCTGATGAAGATCGAAGAGCCCTGGACCGGGAGGTGTCATCGCAGAAACTGGGCATTGAAGCCAGACAGTTCTGAGTTTGAATCTTGGCTCTGCCACTTTTGAGACACATTGTGTTATCTTTCTGAACATTTATTCATTTTTAAAATGGGAATTACACTTTGTACCTTACAGGATGGTTGTGAGGATGAGAAATGTTTGTCCAGTGCATGGAATGTATATAGCAAGCCCTTGATAAATAGCAGCTGTTACAAATTCCCCCACCTCCTATTGGTGGGGCCTCCCTTTACTAGCCTGCACTGCATGTTCTAAAGACCTTTGCCCTGGCTGCTCTTTCCTACCCAGCTTGTGCATTTATAGTGACCTGACCTGACTATTTACTAGGATTCTTGTCCCCTCCAGTGGGTCAGTTGGGAAGTCAACCTGCAGCTCCAGGCTAGATGTGGATGGAGAAGCACCTGTTCCTCAGCCTGTCAATGGCCCAGACCAGATAAGGGGACCGCTTTCCTGGTTCCTGGTTTGCATTCTGGATTCTTTCTCTGAATCTGGTCTGCCTGGTTGTCCCACTACCACCTGCCTACGCCTCTCCAGCCCTGTCCAGACCACTCTCCCCTGAGCCATTCACATCCCTGTTTTTCCCAACCGTTGGTGTCAAAATGAGCAATTGTTTTTTCCTTTCTTAATTTTCTTTTGGATGAAGAGTTGTTTCACATGGATCATTTTAGAAGGAGCTATACTACTTCAAGAGAGATAGTAGACTTGGTTAATTGCATCAAATTCCTGGTCATTTCTTGGGGGAGAATTGGTTAAACTGGTGGTTTACTGACTCCATTGGCTGGTAGCCTAACTAAATTAATTGACCCATTTAATCAAAACAAGCCAAGCTGGTGACCAGTTTAGACACATACTTGATGTCCCACTCTTGGCTTTTACCCTCGTTTCTCCTTATTTTGTGCCTAGAGTATAATAGCAAAACTTGTTAGAACCCAGGTCTTGTCTTTGCTTTTGCTGGAACTGCCTCGAAAGAATCTGGCAGCTTTGGGGTATGGAAGCCAAAATTGGAGAGATGTCAGCTGTGCCCGTGGTGACAGGTGGAGGGTTGCTGCTTTCAGCAGGGGCCCTGAATACTGGGCCAGTGGTCATGCTGGCCAGCAATCCCCGGCCAAGGAGAGCAAGGATGCAGGCAGCACGTGGGCCTTCCATGCCAACGAAGAGGCAGTTCATTAAAGAGGAACCTGTGACGTCAATTATTTGACTCCTTGTCACTCTTTGGAATTGCTGTCATTTAAACTTTTTGACTAGATTCAGTTCCAAAGATCAAGGTATACGAGTCTCCACTGTTAGAAGTCTTGGAAGACTTCTTGTGGGATGAGAAGTGTTCTTCCTCTATTGACTTTTCCCCCTTTCTGCTTCTCTGTGATCAGACTGCAGGGATTTGAAGGTTTTTTTTTTTTTTTTTTTAAGGTGTAACCCTGGGACTCTCAAGCTTAGAATCTTTGTCAGCCAAGTAAACTGAATTTATTTATTTATTTATTTTCTGAGACAGAGTCTTGCTCTGTTGCATAGGCTGGAGTGCAGTGGCACGATCTCAGCTCACTGCAACCTCTGCCTCTCGGATTCAAGCAATTCTCCTGCCTCAACCTCCTGAGTAGCTAAAATTACAGATGTGTGTCACCACTCCTGGCTAATTTTTTTGTATTTTTAGTGGAGATGGGAATTTACCATGTTGGTCAGGCCCTCAGGTGATCCACCTGCCTTGGCCTCCCAAAGTGCTGGGATTACGGGTGTGAGCCACCGTGTCTGGCCTAAATTGAAATTTTTAATTGTGAAATGACCTTCTTTAACTATGGTTTTTTACCTTTTAAAATTGATACATAATATTTTACTTATTAATGGAGTACATGAGATATTTTGTTACATGCATAGGATATATACTGATCAGATCAAGGTATTTGGGGGTATCTATCACCTTGAGTATTTATCAATTCTTTTTTTTTGTTTCTGTTTTTGTTTTTGAGACTGAGTCTCGCTCTGTCGCCCAGGCTGGAGTGCAGTGGCGTGATCTCAGCTCACTGCAAGCTCCGCCTTCCGGGTTCATGCCATTCTCCTGCCTCAGCCTCCGGAGTAGCTGGGACTACAGGCGCCCACCAGCATGCCCGGCTAATTTTTTTTTTTTTTTTTTTTTTTAGTATAGACGGGGTTTCACTGTGTTAGCCAGGATGGTCTCGATCTCCTGACCTCGTGATCCGCCTGCCTTGGCCTCCCAAAGTGCTGGGATTACAGCCACCGTGCCCGGCTGAGTATTTATCAATTCTATGCATCGGGTACATTTTGAGTTCTCTCTTCTAGCTACTTATCTATAATAGTTTTGACCTCAAAACTTATCTGATGTTAAAACAGCCACATAGCTTTACTTTGGTTGGTATTTTCCGGGTATGTCTTTCCTCATCCTTTTACTTCCAACTTTTTGATATTTTTATAAATAAAAGGACAAACATCATATAGCTAGCTTATTTCTTTTAAACTATATTCTGAGAGTCTTTGCCTTTTATCTGGAACATTTAGTCTATTTACGTTGATTATCATTACGAAAATATTTGGATTTATTTTTACCATCTTATTTTATGTGACATCTTTTTGTTCCACTTTTTCTGTTTTCTTTTTGCCCCCATTTGTCTTCATTTGGATTGGTTATTTCCTCACCTATTTTGTTTCTTTTTTTTTTTTTTTTTTTTTTTTTTTGAGACGGAGTCTCGCTCTGTCGCCCAGGCTGGAGTGCAGTGGCGGGATCTCGGCTCATTGCAAGCTCCACCTCCCGGGTTCACGCCATTCTCCTGCCTCAGCCTCCCAAGTAGCTGGGACTACAGGCGCCCGCCACTACGCCCGGCTAATTTTTTGTATTTTTAGTAGAGACGGGGTTTCACCGTTTTTAGCCGGGATGGTCTCGATCTCCTGACCTCGTGATCCGCCCGCCTCGGCCTCCCAAAGTGCTGGGATTACAGGCGTGAGCCACCGCGCCCGGCCTATTTTGTTTCTTTATTAACTTAAACACTCTGTTTCTATTCTTTTAGTAGTTAACCTAGAAGCTTAAACATGTGTATTAATTTAACAAGGTCTAAAGTTAATTAATATCTTTTCCCTCATTTTATACAATATATGTAATTAGAATCCAAGTTTTCTAAGCCTGGCTTAACATGACATTATTATCCATACTTTTCTACATTGATTTCTTAAAAATTCACTAATCAGTCATTGTTTTCAACCTTTACACAATGAACATTAAATTAGATTTATCCACATTTATAGTTTTCCTTGCTTACATATTCCTTCGGGCATCTCAGACCTTCTTTTCTGAGCATATCCCTTAAAAATTCCTTTAGTGAGGGCATGCTAGTTATAAGCTCCATCCATTTTTGGATAGTGGATCCATTTTGCATAAATGTTTTAATATCACCCTTGTCCTGATAGATACTTTTACTGGATGTATTATTCTAGGTTGACAGTTCTTTTCTTTTTTTTTTATTATTATTATACTTTAAGTTTTAGAGTACATGTGCACAACGTGCAGGTTTGTTACATATGTATACATGTGCCATGTTGGTGTGCTACACCCATTAACTTGTCATTTAGCATTAGGTATATCTTCTAATGCTATCCCTCCCCCCTCCCCCTACCTCACAACAGTCCCCAGTGTGTGATGTTCCCCTTCCCGTGTCCATGTGTTCTCATTGTTCAGTTACCACCTATGAGTGAGAACATGCGGTGCTTGGTTTTTTGTCCTTGCGATAGTTTGCTGAGAATGATGGTTTCCAGCTTCATCCATGTCCCTACAAAGGACATGAACTCATCATTTTTTATGGCCGCATAGTATTCCATGGTGTATATGTGCCACATTTTCTTAATCCAGTCTATCATTGTTGGACATTTGGGTTGGTTCCAAGTCTTTGCTATTGTGAATAGTGCCGCAATAAACATATGTGTGCATGTGTCTTTATAGCAGCATGATTTATAATCCTTTGGATATATACCCAGTAATGGGATGGCTGGGTCAAATGGTATTTCTAGTTCTAGATCCCTGAGGAATCGCCACACGACTTCCACAATGGTTGAACTAGTTTACAGTCCCACCAACAGTGTAAAAATGTTCCTGTTTCTCCACATCCTCTCCAGCACCTGTTGTTTCCTGACTTTTTAATGATTGCCATTCTAACTTGTGTGAGATGGTATCTCATTGTGGTTTTGATTTGCATTTCTCTGATGGCCAGTGATGATGAGCATTTTTTCATGTGTCTTTTGGCTGCATAAATGTCGTCTTTTGAGAAGTGTCTGTTCATATCCTTTGCCCACTTTTTGATGGGGTTGTTTGTTTTTTTCTTGTAAATTTATTTGAGTTCATTGTAGATTCTGGATATTAGCCCTTTGTCAGATGAGTAGGTTGCGAAAATTTTCTCCCATTCTGTAGGTTGCCTGTTCACTCTGATGGTGGTTTCTTTTGCTGTGCAGAAGCTCTTTAATTTAATTAGATCCCGTTTGTCAATTTTGGCTTTTGTTGCCATTGCTTTTGGTGTTTTAGACATGAAGTCCTTGCCCATGCCTATGTCCTGAATGGTATTGCCTAGGTTTTCTTCTAGGGTTTTTATGGTTTTAGGTCTAACATTTAAGTCTTTAATCCATCTTGAATTAATTTTTGTATAAGGTATAAGGAAGGGATCCAGTTTCAGCTTTCTACATATGGCTAGCCAGTTTTCCCAGCACCATTTATTAAATAGGGAATCCTTTCCCCATTTCTTGTTTTTGTCAGGTTTGTCAAAGGTCAGATAGTTGTAGATATGCGGCATGATTTCTGAGGGCTCTGTTCTGTTCCATTGATCTATATCTCTGTTTTGGTACCAGTACCATGCTGTTTTGGTTACTGTAGCCTTGTAGTATAGTTTGAAGTCAGGTAGCATGATGCCTCCAGCTTTGTTCTTTTGGCTTAGGATTGACTTGGCAATGCGGGCTCTTTTTTGGTTCCATATGAACTTTAAAGTAGTTTTTTCCAATTCTGTGAAGAAAGTCATTGGTAGCTGACAGTTATTTTCTCTCAACTCTTTGAAGATGTATTTTTCCTTCCATTTTTGATGCTGAAAAGTTAGCTCAATCTTTGTCAGTGATCTGTCTTTTCACTCTGACTGCTTTTATACTCTTCTTGATTTTGCTTTCTTCAGTTTCACTAAATGTTGAAAATTTTAATGTCTAGATACTGATTTTATTTATTCTGCTTGGCATTTATCATGCTTCTTTAATCTGAGAATTCATGCCTTAATACTTAAAAATTGTTAGTCCTTATTTGTTTGAATATTGCCTCTATCCAATTTCCATATTTTTTTCCTTCTGGAAATCTGGCTAGACGTGTGTTAAACTTCACTCTGTCCCCCATATCACTGACTCCATATCACTTCTTTCATGTATTTTAACTTTTGTCTCTCTGTGCTGCACTCTGGGTAATTTCTTTAGGTCCATCTTATGGTCCATAAATTATGTCCTTGGCTATGTCTGATATATGCTACTTATCTGTTTTCTGTTTTCATTATTATATTTTATATTTCAGAAATTCTTTGTAGCTTTTCAAAATGATTTGCTTAATTTGCTTAATTATCTTTTCCATAATTTGTGTAATCCTGTTTTATTTCTTTATGCATATTAAACTTATTTTATATTCTATATCTGATCATTGTAATATTTCCAGTTTTCTGATGACTTTCATTTAGAGTGATTCGTTTACTCTTATTTTTTAAAGAGACAGGGTCTTGTTATGTTGCCCAGGCTAGTCTTGAACTCCTGGGCTGAAGGGACCCTCCTGCCTTGGCCTCCCACAGTGGTGCGATTACAGGCATGAGCCACCATGCTTGGCCCATTTGCTCTTCTTTTTAGTGATTTTTTTTTTTTGTTATAAACCTATTTCCTTAAAACTTTATCTGTGGGGATTGTTAGAGCCCTGTGTTTAAAGTGACTTTCTCCAGAGAGGACACATTTGAATTTATTCCAGCCATGGCACAGTGCCCACCAAGGGGTGGTTTAATCACATCTTTAGCTCAAGTTGTTATCATTCTTCCAACTCACACTACTAGTGTGAATCTGGTCCTAAACCCAAATGAATGGGGCTTTTGGTTAGAGATTTTCAGGGAGACTTTTTCAAAGTACTTGATTTTTTTTGGTGCCCCAAATAGATTTTAACTCACTAATAGCCAGATAGTTTTCTCCTTTTTGGTGCCATGAGCCCCTTTGGCAGTCTGGCGAAGCTCTTGGGTCCTTCTCAGAATGAAAGTTGTATTTATGGAATTGAAAAAAAAAACAAATATATTGAAATACAGCTTTATTCACAGACCCTTGAAGAGGCACCCAGAATATTAACCTGTGTGACACATTTAAATTACATCTCTAATCTTGATGGAGAAAAAGTGGTTTATGATAGGACTCATTTCCTCAATTTCTTAAATGAGGAAATGGAGCTGGCACCAGTGAGCTCTACAAAGGCTCTACTGCAGTCTTCTCATCTGTATTTGAAAAGTATCTCTGCCATGATAACCACATGTTACCTTGGAAAGGAATCTCCTGAGTTTTTAGTTTTGTACCCATAGGGTTTCCAGTAAAATATTAAATTAGACAAGATCTGCACTACCTGGGTTATTGAACTTATATGTGAATGATGATCTCAGAAAACAAAAAGAAGGGAAAATAAATGGGATCAGTTTTTCTTTCAAAGCTATGATTTATTTCTTTATTAAACTGTCACAATAGAATGAAATATTATTTATTCATTGTTCTTTTCGGTAGCTATGGGAACATTGAACTGCTTCAAATCACTGGAAACAATCCAATTGAACATCCTTAGAAGACTGATTAATTATGTTATATCTATATAATAAAATCCTATGCAGCTATATTAAAAAGAATAGAGATAGATATGCTCTTATAGAATGAACTCTAAGATATGTCATTAAGTGGAAAAGGAAAAGTGTACATTGTGTGTTTTCACTTGTAAAAATCTGTCCATTCATAAAGCATGTGATATTTCTGGAAAGAGGCACTGGTAATTGGTGTCAGCGATTGCTTCTGGAAAGAAACTTGAGATCTGGGGGAAGATGGGAGGAGAGACTTACTTTTCATTGTGTGTCTATTTGCATTGTTTGAATGTTTTGCCATGTGGATGTATTAGCTCTAATTAATTCATTAAAGATGAACTGTCCTTGCTTTTAGCAGCTATTGAAATGAAATGAAAGCATATAAAGAATATGTACTAATTAAGCCTGTCAAGTTATATATTTCGCTAACGAATACACTACTCTGCAAAAAAGAGAGAAATTCTCAACAACTAGGGCTGCTCCAAATAAGACCAACCAGTATTTGAGTTCAGGGATGAAGACGGGTGGCCCCCGGTTCAGGTGTTCCTTATTGGAGGGTCTTCCTGCAGTTGCTGTCTTCCTTACACCACATATCCACTGCTTTATAGCTCTCTGTACTCTCTTCTGCTCCTCTCCTTGGTCTTAAACTTCTGGAGGCATGTTCCTCACACACTACCTGGCACAGAGCAGGTCTACAGTAAATGGAGGAAGAATGAGTCACTCTTGAGCCTGCCAGGAGTGAAGTCCAGGGATGCAGAAATAGTAGGAGGCCCCATGTTTTCCCACAATGGAGAGCGCAGCACAGTTAGGCCCCCAGGTCCCAGTGGCTCTCAGTTGGATGAGGGACCAAGGGCAGGGCCATGGTGAGGAAGCGAAACCAAGAAGGACTGAGTCTGATGAGGGCACCATTCTTTGATATCCCTAATTTATCCCAAACCTCTGTTGTGGGGGTGGCTGCTGGGAGAGGAGACAAAGCCAGCAGAACAGTGGGAGTAGTAGGTGGGAGAGAATCAGAGAGAAGTTGGATAACAGCAGTTGTTCAGTGGAATTTCACAGTGCCTTTCAAGAATGAAATTCAATTTATATTTAGAATTTGACTTGAATCCAGAAGAAACAGACAAGCTGGCTAATATCAAGACACTGTATGAAATAATTTGTGTCGGTTATTGAAAGGATTTGTAATCAAGTGTGAAAGGGATGTCTGGTCATGATCATTCATTCACATATTTTTGGGGCATTGTGTCCCACGAGGTGTATAGAGATGAATTAGGTCCTCTCTGTCTCCAAGTAGCTTATTGAAAAATAATTTTGCATAATGGCTAAGAATGATATGTTGGACTCAAATTCTTGGGTCCAAAGTCTGGCTCTGTTACTTGCGGTGTGACCTTGAGCAAGTTATTGAATCTCTTTGTGCTTCAGTTCCCTCATTGTCAGCGTGGGGACAGTAGTGCCTGTTTCATAGGACTGAATAAGATAACAGATGTAAAGTGCTTAGGGAAGTGTCTGGCATAAACAGGACTCAATGAATGTCAGTTTTTAAAAAACATTCAGCCCTTCTGCCATGTGGGGACACAACAGGAAGACAGCCATCTATGAGCCAGGAAGTGGGCCCTCATAGACACTGAATCTGTTGGTGCTTTGATCTTGGACTTCCTGGCCTGTGGAACTGTGAGAAGTAAATTTCTGTAGTTCATAAGCCAAAAAATTCTTTTTCATTGATTCACTGTACATTTTTGAAGCTCTTGCAGTGTGTCAGACACTGCTGTAGGTATTAGGGATTGTGGACATGGAGGGCAAAAGTCCTGTCTTTTTTTTTTTTTTTTGAGACAGAGCCTTGCTCTGTCACCCAGGCTGGAATGCAGTGGTGCCGTCTCAGCTCACTGCAACCTCCGCCTCCCAGGCTCAAGCGATTATCCTGCCTCAGCCTCCAGAGTAGCTGGGATTACAGGCGTGTGCTACTGTGCCTGGCTAATTTTTGTATTTTTAGTAGAGACAGGGTTTCACCATGTTGGCCAGGCTGGCCTTGAACTCCTGACCTCAAGTAATCCGCCCATCTCGGCCTCCCAAAGTGCTGGGATTACGGACATGAGCCACTGTGCTCGGCGTTTTTTGTTTTTTGTTTTTTTCCAAAAGTCCTGTCTTTAAAGAACTCTGTGGTTGGTGTATTAGTTATTTCTTCCTTTGTAACAAATTACCCAACACTTAGTGGCTTGAAATTGAAATTACGAGGGACATTTCTTACCTCTCACAGTTTCTGCAGGTCAGGAATTCAGGATCAGCTTGGCCACGTAGTTCTGCTCAGGGTCTGTCATGAGTTTACATCCCAAATGTTGGCTAGGACTGCAGACATCTAAAGGCTTGACTGGTGCTAGAGGATACTTTTTTTTTTTAAATTTAAGTTTTAGAGGATACATGTCTAAGATGGCTCACTCATATGACTGGAACATTGCTTCTTTTCCACATGGGCGTCTTCATGGTGCTGCCCTAGTGTCCTGAAATGTGGTAGCTGGCTTTCCTTTTGAGCAAGTGATCCAAGTGATCACGCCAAAAATTGCAATGCCTTTTATGGCTTAGCCTCAGAAGCCAGACACCATCACTTCTGCTATATTTCACTGGTCTTGCAGCTCAGCCCTCTTTCAATAGGGAAGGGACTCTACACAAGCATTGGTACCAGGAAGTGAGTGTCCTTGAGGACTATTTTGGAGGCTGTCTATCACAGTTGAGGAAGAAGACATATAATCGTACAAAAAGTGCCATGATGGAGATTTACCACAGGGATCTTCTTGTGGCAGCACAGTCTTGTCAAGAAAGGAGAAAGTGAAGCTTGAGGTCAGTCTTAAAGGAAAAGATATTCAGCCTGGACAAAGGAGAGTGTTCAGGGCAGAAGGAACTGTGCAGGTGGAAAGTCACAGAGTTGAGAATGAACATAGCACACCCTGAACGCTTGAAGTACATCTCTTGGCCTAAAGCAAGGGGGTCTGGTAGGGCAGGGGCAAGAAGATAAGTAAGATGATGATGTGAGTAATGACCTACCTATATGAGAATGATGCAATGATGGTTTAGACAGGTTGTGACAGCTGCACTTACACTCATAAATGAATGAAAACTATTTCATACTCCTTAAGGATTTACTCTCTAAAAAACCTTTGTAATATTTAAGATGTCTCCACATCCATCCATCCATCCACCCACCCACCCACCCACCCATCTACCTACCTACCCATCCATCCTTCCACTCACCCATCTATCCACCCATGCGTGCATGCATGCATCCATCCATCCATCCCACCTATCTAGTCAGTTTTTATTCATTGTATACATGCACATGAACTTGCACACACACACACACACACACACAAAATTTTAGCATTCTTTGCATTACTTTTCTTCATAGCATTAATTACTACCTGGCATTATGTTGTATTTTATGTTAATTGCCTGTGTCTTTCTCTAGATATAAACTCTAAGACATCAGAGACTTTGTGTTTATGTCATTTTACCCTTAGTACCTAGACTAATGCTTGGCACATGTTAGGAGCTCAATAAATCTGTAGTTGAATAAATGCAAGAGTGAAGTGAGGTGGTAGAAGTATGCAGAAGATGCTGCGAGAACTTGAGGAAAGAGTGAGCATTCCAGACAGAGGAGTTCTCATGAGCAAAGGAGTGGAGACAGAGAAGAGCATGGCCTTGCCTCGCCATGTAGTGTGGGAAACCAGAAGTATAATTGCAAGACAAAAGCATCTTCTAGCAGTTGCTTTCATTCAATAACTTATTTTTTTTAATTATTATTTTTAAAAAATTTTAAGTTTTACTTTAAATTCCGGGATACATGTGCAGAACATGCAGGTTTATGTGGGTATACATGTGCCATGGTGATTTGCTGCACCTATTAACCCGTCATCTAGGTTTTAAGCCCCACATGCATTAGGTATTTACATTTGAGGAAAGCTTCTTTGGAGGTATTTATGAACTTAAAACTCCACTAGTGGATAGATTTTCTTTGTGCTGCAGCCATAATAATACTCAGAAACATGAATACCAGGGATGTATGTCCTTCCGATGAGTGAGCCTTATTCTCAATACTGTGTGTGTTTATCTCTTAAAATACATTTCCTTGCTGCAGTGGCAAGACATTTAGTCTTCTCTATGGAGCTGACATGAGATGTGGTTTTTGGCATCTCTGTGGCCTTGAAGATATTTTTTATGTCAGATTGGTACTAGATAGAGCCACAGTTTGGAATATTTTGCAGTAGAGGAGGCTGCAGGTCTGTGATGAGAATAGGTTGATTCAGCTATTGCTTGTACTGCTACACTCCAGGGACAGCTTGAGGTCTTTTGGTTATGATATTCCCAGTGTTCTTCCTCAGTGCGGGAACGCTGGCATGCCAGAAAGTGCTTTTCTGTGACCTCTGCTTGTCTGCTTTTTGTGAACTTCAGGAAATGGCTACTCAGAGGAAAGATAAAACCTTTATAGATTTCCAAGTACTGCATTTGTGAAATACCTCCTCAGTAGCATCCAGGTTATGTTCAGGTAATCTGAAAGTATGAACACAGACAACCTTTGAAAACTATTTCAAAAGAAACAACTTGGCTCCCAGAATTTTGGCTGGTCCCCATCGTTTCCCCCTCAGTGACTCACTTTGGTTTGATGATTGTTACTCACCTCTTCGCACACTTAGCGCTGTAATTGTTCAGTATCAAAGAATACATCCTCTGGGTTTACAGGGGCAATGAACTTTTGTTTCTATTGAAAAAGTGGAACTCAAGTTTGATCTTAAATTGGAATAAAAAGTTAACAGTGATTGTCTTTGGGTATTGGGACTGTGGATATGTTTTTCTTCCTTCTAATTTTCAGTTTTTCCCTTAAATGTCAATAATGAACATGTATTATTATTTTATAATGGGCTTAAAGCCAAGAAACTTTTTGGAAAATTTGCTCTTCAATTTTTTTTTTTTCTGTGTGTGATCTCTAGAGATTGTTTCTGCAAAATGGATCCTGATTTCTCACACTTTTTCTTCTTTGGAGCTTACATTTTAGTGTCTATTATGGTGGATTGAGTGATGGCTTCAAATAGCAGAGGAAGATTCTCATTTATTAACTGAGACTTGCCTGGAGAAGGAGGCAAGTCAGAGCCAAGTCAATGAGACTATTGAGGTCATCTGAGTCTGGAGCAGGCTGCCAAAGAGGAGACATCTATTCCCTACCCCAGACCTCTTAGTTCCTCTCAAGGAAATCCAGAAGCCACCATTCTTCTGTGACTCTCTGTTGTTGGTAGTTAGTCATTAATGCTGTCAAGCCCTGTTTTGCGCTGGTACATGTCTGCCAATGAGTCTGACAATGTGCCTTTCAGTGGGTGCTTTTGAAATACCACCTCCTGATGGTCCTCTCTGACCTTACGGTTGCATCTTCCTCCCATCAAAAGCAGACACATCAGATGCTTTGTGGGACGCTGCCTGTGCCTAGCCTAGGGTAACTAGATGATCATGTGACATGTCAGATGAAGTCCTAGATCCGGAAGAAAAAGAAGGCAGCAGTTTTGAGCAAAAATAAGACAGGGTTGAAAATAAGCCCTACCTATTTGACCAGCTCACCGATTTTTAACTCCCGGACTCAGATTCCCACAGAAAGCACATGCAGGTGACAAAGTAGATGAAATCAGCCTTCCAGCCAACCCATTAGCTATCCATCACTGTTTGTCTTAAGTAAATAGCTATTTGCAGAGCTGCTTCAGTGGCTTTTTGGTGACTTGGCTTTATGGTATGCTTGTAGCTTTTCCTTAGATGAAAATTTCAGAGTTTGTTCAGTCTGATAACACTCAAGCATAACTGAACACCTCATTTAGTTATAACCTCAAATACTTCTTTATCTTGAAGATGATCAAGGGCAAATATAAGAAAATCCCCTAATACGCAGCCACTTGGGATGAAAATGGGCGAGTTGGGCTTTCCATTTAGGTGCAATCAAAGACGTATCCGTAGAAAACTGGGTTGGGCACAGTGGCCCACACCTGCAATCCCAGCACTTTGGGAGGCTGTGGTGGGAGGATTGCTTGAGCCCAGGAATTTGAGACCAGCCTCGGCAACATAGCAAGACCCTATCATTACAAAAATATAAAAAACATTAGCTAGACATGGTGGTGCACACCTGTAGTCCCAGCTACTCAGGAGACTGAGGTGAGAGAATCACTTGAGGCTGGGAATCTGGGGCTGCAGTAAGCTACAACTGTGTCACTGCAGTCCATCCTGAGTGGCGGAGTGAGACACCCTGTCTCTTAAACAACAACAACAACAACAACAACAAAAAAGAAAACTGCTCTGGAGTCACAGCATACAGTTCTTTGCTCAACTCCAACACTGCAAAAATCTCCGGCTGCACAGAGATTGCATGGTGGTGCATCACGACCCTGTGCTGTTTTCCAGAGAGGTATGCTGGACGGGACCATAACAGCTGCAAACTCTCCCAGAGGGGGTTCCTAAACTTCATGAACACTGTACTGGTTGCCTTCACAAAGAACCAGAAGGGCTCTGGTGCCCTTGACTGCATGATGAAGAAACTGGACTTCAACTGTGATGGGCAGGCTAGATTTTCAGGACTTTCTCAGTCTTACTGATGGTGTAGCTGTGGCTTGCCCTGACTCCTTCATCCCGGCTGGCCATGCCCATGAGAGAATCTGAGGTGCCCTTGAGCCTGGCCTCCAGACCTACTCCCTTTCCTTCTAGCCCCCTACTTTCCATTTCTCTTCACAGCCCACACATCCCTTGAACTCAGTGTACCGACCACCCCTTGAAGGCCACTTCTGTTGGTAGTGATAAAACACAGTATTGTTTCAAACACACACAAACACAGACCCTCAGGTTTGTAGATAATCTGTTAGATGTTCTTTCCTCTGTCCCTTCAGCAGTTACCTTTATAAGGACCTACTATGTGCAACGCTGAGGATTCAGAAAGGAAGAAGACATGAATTTTTCCTGGGTGAATTTATTGTCCTAGAAGGGCAGGTGAGACCCATGCACAAATAGATTTTGCAGAGTTGAAGGTGGATATTGCTTCAGGAAGGCATAAAGTGTTATGGGCCCGAATCTCAACAATTTTACAAGGGGACAACATAGACAACCAACCTGAAACTATTTATAAATAACCATGTGCACATAAAAAAGTGTTTATTTTTCCTGAAGTTTCTCTAACATATGGGCATTTCTCCCTACATTATTTCTATTTATTGCACACACTGGGGCAAATTTATCATCCTGCGTAAATGTCATTAAATTTTACTCACTCTCCACTCTGAGTTAATTTGTTTGCTTTGTAGCTGAAGGGTTGTTCTGATCTTGTCTGAAAGACAGAAAACAGAAGTGTCTCACTTGTGACAACTCCCTCAACCTCCTTTCTTTACTCCTAAGCTATGTTTCAACAGAAGCAGACTGAGCTTCTCTCCAGAACTTATTCCAACTTAGGGAAATGAATTAGACAATCTGGAAAAAACCTCAAAAGCAAGAACCTTTCTCCCCCTTGAACAAGTCCCTAAACAGCCAGCCTGGTTTCTTTCCACTCCATTAGGCCTTGCTGGGACTCCTCTAGAGTTCAAGACCAATTAGCTGTCATTTATTGAGTGCTTACATATAGTCACCTCAAACTCTCTCACAATATCAGCTGAGGAAACTGAGGCCAAGAAGTCAAGTAATTTAGCCAAGATCACAGAGCTGAAATTTAGACCTGGGTGTGCCTCATTCCAAAAACCGATGATTTTCCCCATTGTGCTATGCTACTCTTAAATCCAAAATCCCAGTAGAGGAGAAGATGCCTTTTAGTTAAAAGAATTAAACAACCCCCTCCCCCACCAAAAAACCATCTTCATTTGCCCAGCTCTCACATGTCTATAATCCCTTCATTCTCCTGCCCTTCTCATATGCAGGAGGTAGGTGAAAGCTGGATGAAATAGCAGAAGGAAGCTGCCTATCATAGCTGTCCCCATGCAAAATAGAAGGGTGTTCTTTAGGTTGGTGCAAAAGTAATTGCCATTAAAAGTAATGGCAGAGGCCAGGCATGGTGGCTCACACCTGTAATCCTAGCACTTTGGGAGGCCAAGGCAGGTGGATCATGAGGTCAGGAGATCGAGACCATCCTGGCTAACATGGTGAAACCCTGTCTCTACTAAAAATACAAAAAAATTAGCCAGGCGTAGTGGCGGGCAGCTGTAGTCCCAGCTACTCGGGAGGCTGAGCCAGGAGAATGGCGTGAACCCAGGAGGTGGAGCTTGCAGTGAGCCAAGATCGCACCACTGCACGCCAGCCTGGGTGACAGAGTGAGACTCCATCTCAAATAAATATGTATGTATGTATGTATGTATGTATGGGCAGAAACTGCAATTACTTTTGCACCAACCTAATACCTTTCTGCCACACTAGAAACCTTCTAGTGATTGGCTGTTGGTGAGTTGGTTTTGCCTCCTGCTCCATAGTTCAGCCTGTCAGGTGTTTCTCTGAGGGTCCCTCGCCCCTGTGTGTCCCCTGGCACTTTGTGGATCTTCCTGTTTGCAAGGACCTGGAGGCTGCTTTGCAAGGACCTGGAGGCTGGAGCAAGTGGGATGCAGGTTGTGGGACCAGTGGCTCTGTATAATCTCTTGATGAAGTGAGAGCTTTCCTTCCTGCGGACACACTCCCTCCTGCCCATTTTGGTGACTCAGACATGGCCAGAATTGACTCATGCTTATGCTTAAGAAGGAATCTTTCCAGCCAGACTTAGACTTTTAAGATTCTTTGGATGAAACTGATTATTTCCTGGGAAGCCATGTGCATTCTCTGAGTGACTGACATAGGCGAGCACTGCTCTTTCAGGCCAAAGCTGGATCCCTGCAAATGTTGCAGGATGGATGAAGAAAACAAGACACTGAGAGTGTCAGTGAATTACAGAACTGTGAAAATTTGAGATTTCATGGAGTCATATTTCTGAAAAGAACATCTGTAGGGATGGGCCTGTCTAAATTTTTCCAGAGAGTTTTCATTTTGGCTTCTTCCAGATCTTGGGATGACTGACTAGGGTAGGGAATGGAGGGTAATAATTAGCAAAGTAAGACTGGGGTGGGGGATGCCTCAAGTTGATTATAAGTTCAAATATGAATCAACAGTATGATGTGGCTGCTTATACAAGAGGATTCACTCCTAGGCTGCATTGATAGGACTGCGTTATCTAAGACCAGAGGTGTGATTGTTGTCTCATGCTTAAGGATCCTGGGGAGATTTTCTTGGAGTGCTGAGTTCATTTCTGGAATTTCACTGGTTCATTTCTGTTTATTTAAAATTCTAGAATCTTTCTGGGTCACCTTTCTGGGCTCAAAAAGCAAGAGTTGTCGGGGTGATAGGCATCTGATCATATCATGAATATAATTGAATATAGCTATGGGAATTAAGTTTTAACCATTCCTAACAAATCAGATTAAAATAGCTAAGAAATATCAATACCTAATCATTGTCAAGCATCTGCAGTTTCTGCTTTGAGTAATGTTTAACTGTGAAAATCATTTTTTAATTATGCCTGAGCTCTGTGAACATAAACCCCAAAGTAAAACACATGATTAGTTCATTCAATATCCAGTTGCACCCTTCCAGGTGAATAGTGCCAGGCAAAGTATTGGAGGGAATACAAATAAGAATAAGCATATTATTTCCCCCTTCACTCCCCCAGGTTTTTAATTCCTCTGTTGCCAAAGTGTTTATATGCTATTTGGGGAAACAAGTAATACTGAGCAAAAAGTTAAATCACAGTTAAGGGCAAGCATGCGATCCCTTTCAGCAGACAACTAAAATACCTGACCCATCTGTAAACAGCTGTTACACAAGCTCTCTGCCTGGAACCAAGAAGTAAGCGGAGGAGACTCTGAGCTGATGAATTTCAAGAGGTCCCAGCATTAAAACCAGAATTTACTGATAACCCTTTACATCCTTATTTATACCCTATTCCTACTTTACAAACATTTCTAACTCCAGTTCTAGCACCCCGAAATTAGCAAATCAGAGGCAACAAATGAGAGGGGAAAAGAAGCATCCATAGACACAGGCAAGCACCTTTTGAAAACAAGGTAAGTAGTAAGTAAATATAGGCAGACACCCTGACAGTAATAGAGCTTGACATTAATAGCTAGGCAACAGATGTGACAGAAAGCTATAAAATTCTGTGCCTGGGGTAGGTCTAAATAGTCCCACTGAGCTCAGTGACCCTGAGGGCTTCATTGCATTAAGGGGCATTATAGTAATTGATGCATTTTTTTCTGAGTCTGATAGCCTGTGTTTATAACAGTGACCCTGAGGCCTTCAGGGAAGATTAAATTATGCTCAGTGGATGCTGTTCAAAAAGGTATATGGGTGTATTGTATTTTTTTTTCTTAAGTCATTTTAGAGAGGCATCCATCCTAATGTCTAAAGCAGTGCCATTGTCATAGAAGAGATGTCTTTTGAAAACAAAGGAGAAATAAGATGAAAAGGAATTGCCGCTTCAAAATAAGTTTTAAAAAACCATTTGGTGGCTGGGCGCGGTGGCTCACGCCTGTAATCTCAGCACTTTGGGAGGCCGAGGCGGGTGGATCACGAGGTCAGGAGATCCAGATCATCCTGGATAACACGGTGAAACCCCGTCTCTACTAAAAATACAAAAAAATAGCCGGGCGTGGTGGCAGGCGCCTGTAGTCCCAGCTACTCGGGAGGCTGAGGCAGGAGAATGGCGTGAACCCAGGAGGCAGAGTTTGCAGTGAGCCGAGATTGCGCCACTGCACTCCAGCCTGGGCGACAGAGTGAGACTCCATCTCAAAAAACAAAACAAAACAAAACAAAAACAAACAACAACAAAAAAACCGTTTAGCAAAACAAAGGTTTAATGATTGCTCCTTAGTTTGCCAGAAAGCTTGGTTAGCTACAAGACCCATTCTTCAAGACAGTTCTCTCCATTGCCAGCAATAACAAGTGCTTTAGAACTGTGCTGTCCAGAATGGTAGCCACAGTCATATATTATGACTGTTTAAACTTAAATAAAGAATTCAGTGTCTCAGTTGCACTAGCCACCTGTGGCTAATGGCTACCTTATTGGACAGTGCAGATATAAATATTTCCATTATGGCAGAAAATACTTTTGGACATTAAAGCTTTAGAAAGTCAGGGGGAGACAAGATTCCTGGGGGCTGGTGTAGATCAACAAGGCTTCAGGTGGGGATTAAAGCAATCATATATATACCTTTTGGTGTTAGTTTCTTGTTTGGTTTATGGTGTTTGATTATTTGAGTTAACTCCACAGTGGAATTCCAGTTAGGTTTGGTTCCATTAGAATCATAGAAAAATACTGTATCTGAATGATTTCCTGGGTATAATGTTTCCACACAGTTCTGAGGCAGCCAGAAAAATTATCTGAAAACATGGGCCCTCTGAGAGACATTTTTTTCCTAAATACACAGAAGATTCTAGAAGATGACAGAGGTCACAAGGCTATTGGTTAATTCCATGCTAAATAATTGAAGTACTTATCTGTATTTTTTTTAGAGTTCATTCTGCTAGATATATGTTGGAAATAGGCAAAAAATTTCAACCAGGTTTTCCAAACAGCTTTTAGGGAGCAAAAATGTTTCTTTCTCACATACATGTTCAGCTGAAATACTAGCATGTCTTAAATTACCCGGGGAGGAAGTATTCAGCAGCTCCCCTGTGGTCTGATGTGTGAGTGATGGTTGTGATGAAGAGGACATCTCTTAGGAAAGTGGAAGATCAGTGAATTACAGGGAAGATAATGGCATTCAATTACAGCCAAGGGGACTCTTCTTTACTTGGCTTATAGGTCTCATGATATATGTGGATTTAAAATGAAAAGAGGAGAAACTAAAGCCAGTTTAATGGGTGACTTATAATTTGAGCAGGGAACAAAATGACTTTCTCAGTCTTACAGAACTCCAATCGATGACCTAATTAATTTTTCCCCCTAGGGCAGCTGAATGGAGGCGGGTATCATGGGAATGTCATAACGGTCATGTGTGCCTTTAGCTGCCAAGGTAATTTATACCTGTGAGTTAATGGAAGTATGATTGGCTTATTGAACAAGCTGGACTTGGTAGGCACAAGTAGGGTGCATTTTGCTGTTGTTGTTGTTGTTTTTTGTTTTTGTGAGACAGGGTCTCACTCTATCACCTAGTCTGGGGTATGATGGCGCGATCATGGCTCACTGCAACCTTGACCTTCCACACTGAGGTGATCCTCTCACCTCAGCCTCCCTAGTAGCTGGGACCACAGACATGAGCCACCACCCCTGGTCAATTTTCATATTTTTTTGTAGAGACAGGGTTTCACCATGTTGCCCAGGTTGGTCTTGAACTCTTGGGCTCAAGCTATCCTCCTGCCCACGCCTTCCAAAGTGCTGGGACTACAGGCGTGAGCCATTGTGCCCAGCCTGCTCTTTCTTATGTCTTTCTTTTTCAGTCCTTTAGCTTTTCTAACTACTACTCAGATAATAAACCAATAAGTCTCTTTCCCCATGTATTAAAAATGTCAGTTCAATGTAATATCAAAATCCAATCTAACACACTTGTCCAATCTAAACCTTCTCCCCATCATCTGCTCAGGCCTGGGAACAGGCAACAGGGAAGAGAGATGCACAGTAGATTTCATCTCCACATTTTGCTCCCCTTCTCCTTCCCTTAGTTACTGCAGGGCTGGGATGGGGTTAGGAGAATCAGGGAGAGAAGGTCAAGGATCACGGATGAGAATCTGGACATTGTAGTTTGATACCACGACCTTCAGGGTGGCAGATGCACAGTTACCGGCTGGGTATGGGGTCCTTTTGAGGGTTTCCTGAGGTCCCCATAGTGGAAGCTTTTCATTTTTCAGGGTAGTCCCCTGTCCAGAAGAGGGGTTTGGGGGAGTGTTGAAATAGGCAGCACACTGACCTCCCTCTGCAGAAATGTCTTGGACTTCCCAGTGAATTCTTCCCCTCTCTTAAAGAGCTTGAAGTGTGTGGTGGGCTCAAGGTAGCAGAGCTGGCAGCTCAGTTTCTTAGCAAGTCCTGGGGATGTGGTCAAAGATAGGAGAAGTTCTGGCATCTGTTGAATGGTTTTGCCCTGTGCAGCCTCAACAACCCTGAGACCACAGCAAATGTGGCCTTTAACATCCTGTTACCCAAAGCATCTGGACCTCTCAGCCAGGAAGAGGCCTAATTTGACAGGCTTCTCAGCTGCGAACCTTGACTCCCGCATCCTAGGTGAGGAACCCAGGGGTTCGTGGTATTTCAGTCAATGTGGCCACGGCCCACAAGTATCTAAGTCTTTATTGGGAGAAAAGACTGAAATATAGGTTCAGTCTGGATTACAGGGAATCTATGCTCATCCTGGTGTTTCCACAGCATTCATTTAACAAGCATTCATTGAGCCCACTGGATTGGCTGTTGTGGGATCAGGGAATGGTCAGGGAAGACTTCCTCGAGGTGGTGATGTCTTCTGACCTAGGTTTTGAAAGAGGAATTGGATATGCCCATGAAGCTGAGTGGTATCATCCTTAGACCTTGACAATAGGGTCCCATTCTGGCCCTCTTGGTTTGTATGTCTCCATGGGACAGGAGATACGCAGGACCAAGGGGCCAGGCCCACACAGAGTCCACACTCTCTCTTCTACAGTCCAGAACGTATGTGATGCTCTGGATACCCAGGACCCGAGTTCCATGTCCCGTCTGCTTCCATGGCCTGTGTGGGCTTCATTCTCTCATCCCAAGAGCAGACTATGATGCCAGTGTGCACGCTCTGAGGCCCGAGGGATGACAGAGAAGTGGCTATTTGAGGAGGCTGGGAAAGAAGGACTTGTGTATGCAGCCCAGCATTTCCATTAGTGAGAGACCCCTTGTGGTGTGGGTTGGCGCTGGCAAAGAAGGTGGGGCCAGCACAGGGCCAGGGGTCAGAGTGAGAATTCTGTGTTTGAAGCTGGACTACCATCATGAATGAATCAATATCAAGATAGGATAGGATATGCTTTAATAATTTGTTTTAATGTATAACTAAAATATTTACATTTATGGCATGTGGGCCACCATTTGTACTCTTGCCCCAGGTTCTGCAAATGTTAGGAGTAGGACTGAAGATAAATACATTCGTTTGGGTGACTGGATAGCTTCAAGTCATAGGAGATAGAAGGCAGCTCTAGATTAAATAGAAAAGAATCCTAATTAGGAAGGAATCAGATGGACTTTAGGTGAAACCTGCAATGATGGGCAGGCTCAGCTTGGTGAGGGAGAAGAGTAGGGAGATGAAGTATTTGAGGGGAGCTGTGTCAAAGCTGGCCTGTCTTACAGATGGTGTGTTACACAGAGCAGGACCTGAGAAGAACTGCTGTTTGGCAGCTTGATGGTTCTCTCTGTAGGATGAATAGTATTCAGGGTACAGGAAATGGGAAAAGAGGGTGATCTAAGAAGGAAAGGGCAAGTGGCCCCTACCCAGGTGTGTTTTTCAGTAGTGATTGTGCTGAGCAAGTGGCAGATGTCATTCTGCTGCTGTGGTCAGGTTGAGGGCTCGAGGTGACCCCTGGGCTGATAGCTTGTGTCCCCCCTGGGAAGCTCTGTGTAGAGTTAGGGAAAGCATAGAATGAACAGTGTTAAACTTCAGAGCACAAGACTTAGAATCTGAGAAACAATGGTGTTTGAAAGTGCCAGCTGGGATGGTAGCCGTGGCAAGATGGGGAGTTTCAAGCTTTTAAATAACATGTTTATTACTTACACTGCTTTTTATAATCCTAAATCTCCCAGTTTTGATTGCCATTGCCAGCTGCTATGAGATGGGCTTTGTTGATGGATTGTATTTATAAATTTGGATGTTTGTATGTTAGTGGAGACTTTATTTCAACTCTACAGCAGCTTGAATTGATAATCGTGTGGAAGAATTCTGGGCTTTACCCATTTAGCCCAGACACTGCTGTTTTAACCTTGTTGGATGGTTGTCACACTGTATTTATTTTGATCTGTACTCTGAGATCACCCTTCAGAGGTCTGCTTCCTCCATCTTCAGGTGTGCATTTTGGGGAGGGGAGTTCTGGGCAGGTCTTTCTGAAGGGCAGTTCGTGTCGCTACTTTGGAAATGATTGCACATGTGGATCCATTACTTGCCCTATCTGCCATCTAATGTCACACTGCCTTTGGCCACTTCGTTGTGCATTGTCTCACTTAAGTCCTGCCTTATGATGCTCAGCCCAGGAGGGTTGTTTGGTGCCACGGTGTCCTATTAGCAGGATAACATATTACATTTTGTCACTATAAAAGGAGTGAGGAGTTGAAAAGCCAGTTTCCTGGAGGATATGGAAAACTAATTCTGATTCATGGCCTCCGTCTGAACCATCCATCAGTCCTGTCCCTTGTTTGGCTTGTAGAAATAGCCTTCATCGGGCCGGGCGCGGTGGCTCATGCCTGTAATCCCAGCACTTTGGGAGGCCGAGGCGGGCGGATCACGAGGTCAGGAGATCGAGACCATCCCGGCTAAAACGGTGAAACCCCGTCTCTACTAAAAATACAAAAAATTAGCCGGGCGTAGTGGCGGGCGCCTGTAGTCCCAGCTACTTGGGAGGCTGAGGCAGGAGAATGGCGTGAACCCGGGAGGCAGAGCTTGCAGTGAGCCGAGATCCCGCCACTGCACTCCAGCCTGGGCGACAGAGCGAGACTCCGTCTCAAAAAAAAAAAAAAAAAGAAATAGCCTTCATCCCACTTGCTCCTTAAATCTTTATGTCTTCTGTTCCTTAGCAACCCACAGCATATCTTTAATGCTCTCCCCATACTCCCTACTCTTCATGGGAGCAATTTCTTTCAAAGAAAGTGATTAAAATGTATGAACATTCACTGTCCATGGCTGTCTTGGACAGGGCCACCTGTATCTCTCAAACACAGCAAATGACAATCCCAAATGCTCGCTGGCCTCTGGGAGAGACCTTGGCTTCACTGGAATGGAAGTAGAAAATTGGCTTTTCAGTATTACCTCTGATGGGAGGGGGGAGCATGAGATTGAGGTGTGGTGGGGGCCAGGAGAGGTGGGTGAGCATACACATCCCTGATTTTGAAGAACTCAAGAATCCATCCCTATGCAATAGTGCAGCCCAAGTCTGCTGCCTGGTGTGAGGAAGGGGTTGTGGATGAAACAATTCTCTTTGGTGGGACCCATATGGGCGTGAGTGAGTTCATGGGTTCCTGGTGTAGCAGAACCATTTACTGGCTTAAGATCACAGAGTGATGTGTGAGTGCTGCCATGTTCAATGGTGTCTTTAGCTTGCCTGGGTCTATGTCCATGGATTATATTTGGCTTGAGCATCTATTGTGAATGCATGTGTGTTTGTCTTCCTGGTACTTGGTTACATGTTGTTGGTCACAGGGAGATTTATGCATAGTGGAGAAGTTGTTGGCCTTGGGATAGTACGTTTAATTAAAAATAATTCCTTTACCTATGTGCTTCTGCTAAATAAATACATAAAGAAAAATCCCTCTTAAGTATTTGCGTTTTGTTCCTTGCAAAGACTAGTGCAGGCAGAGATGATCCTGAGGGAAATGAAGTTCCTGGTCTTTGCTGTGTGGGATTATTTAAAAATGGGTTTACATACACATGTTTATAAGCTGAGCAAAACGTTCTGGGAGGCAGACACCAAAGTGCCATGTATGGTTATCTCTGCATGGTGGGATTATGGTAGACTCATTTTCTTCTTTTTATTTATCTGTATTTTCTAATTATTCTGCAGTAAAATTGCTTTGCTGAGGTATTTGAAAATAGGTAAAAAGCATTAAAATTGAATTGGGGGGTTGGTTTATATATATGTAATTCTCTTTCCCTAAAGAATAACCGGTTCTACTTTATGTTTTCCTAAGAAATGGACTTCTTTTTTTTTCTTTGTAACAAAAAAAAATATTTTTATAGACCACCCTTTCAATAAAAAGGAAAAAATGATATTTAAGTGCAATTTGATAGGCTGGCGTAATGGTATCTATTATGTATTGTGCATCTACCACGTACCAGGCACTTAACCCATCTCACTCTCAGCTGTTACAGCAGCACCGCATGGTAGCTGCTATCATCCTCATTTTATAAACCGGGGACACAGAGGTTAACCAGCCTGCTCCACAGGTGAGTGCTGAGCTGGGATTCGAGAAAATGCCTGACTCTGAAGTTTGGTTCTCCCCACATGCCAGACTGCCTCCCTCAGCATGAAGGCATCCAGGATCACTGAACTGGGATCTTGCAGGTGTTGGCTGTACCTTGTCACTGTCATTTGTCCCCAGGCATTTCATTCTTCTTCATGCCTGAATAGCAAAGTGATTCACACCTGTGCAGCCTTTTCTCCCAAAGGACCTGTATGTTGCTATTGCTAAATTAATCATCTGGTTAAAAAAATCTACCTAAATAATAAAATCAGCCAACATTTACAGAGTGCTCACCATGTGCCAGACATACTGAGTCTTTTATGTGGTTTGGCTCATTATGTTTTTACAGCAGCCCTGGGAGGTGTATATCATTATGCTCCTTATTTTGCAGATGTAGAAATTGAGGCATCGAGAGATAGCTTGTCTAGGATCACCCAGCTAGTGAGGATTAGAGCTGGTTTTAGGGCTTAGGCAATCAACCCCAGGGCTATATGCCTCATCAGGACACAGTGCTGAAGAAAGTATCTGTTGCTGGTTTGTGAATGCTAGGCCTCTCCCATGCTGTAGTCAAAATTGTGGAGATTCTTTCTAGAGGAGAGGAAGGTATATGCTGACTTCCAAAGAGAGTGTGAATCATTTAGTGTCTAGCCAATTTTTAATCCGTAAGCGGATCACTATATGGACAGAGTTTATTGATCAGCAGAGTTCTTTGCTGGAGAGTAGTACCCTGAGCTGTCTAATGAACCAGTTTCCAGTAAAAAGTAGATGGAGAACAATGCTATGTAGGGAAGATAATTTAAGGAGCATATTCCCTACTTCTCTGGATATGTTTACTTTCATCCATGAGTCTTCATCATGGGTAGACCATGAAAAGGTTACATTCATGGACTACATGAACTTAGCCATGGAAAATGGTCTTCATTAGGCTATTTTTATATATTAACCTTCTAAATGTTTTTGAAGGTTTCAACAAAATCATCTGCAACATACCCATTATGCAATATCTGTAAAAAAATTTTCCTTTTAGTTTTGTGCAGATAAAAGTTTAGGTTCCTTGAGTAGCTAGTGTGTTTCTTTCCCAAATAATGAGAATTATGTAATTCAACCTGTGTCTATCTTTATTATCAATCTATGTCCATCTTTACTGTCACTGCCGGGAAGCTTGGCCCTAGGGAAACAGCATATTCAATGATTAGGGGCTGGAGCTCTTTGCTGCCAAATTGTTTGGGTTCAAAACTTGATTGTTCCACTCATGGACCAGTGACTTTCAGCAAATTTCTTAACTTCCCTGTTTTCCAGTTTCCTTACATATAAGTTGGAAATGATAATATCATGTTTCCTTGATTCTTAGCTGCACATTTTTTTTTTTTATTTTAACATCTCCGAAATCAAAGTGTTTTGCCATTGTTCAACGGCAGCTTTCTCTCTCTCTCTTTTTTTGGTACGGTCTTCCTCTGTTGCTCAGGCTAGAGTGCAATGGCATAATCATAGTTTACTGCAGCTTCAACTTAAGTGATTCCTCCCACCTCTGCCTCCCGAGTAGCCAGGACTCCAGGTGTGCGCCACCATGCCTGGCTAATTCTTTTTCTATTTTTTGTAGAGACGGGGTTCACCGTGTTGGCCAGGCTGGTCTTGAACTCCCGGGCTCAAGTAATCCTCCCACCTCAGCCTGCCAAAGTACTGGGATTACCTGCATGAGCCACCATGCTCAGCCAGCTTTTTCTTCCTTAATGGTACTTTCTACTTATGTAAATATGATATTTGCCTCGTTTGGGTTACTGTGAGAGCTACATGCAGTACCATATACACGTCACTTAGCACGTGAGTGTCCTTGCCTTCTTTTTTCACACTCAATCCCAGGAAGCATAGTCATCCTTATTGTTGACTCATCTGCTTTCCTTCTCTTAACTATTCTTCCTTTTTTATTTTAATTTTATTTAGTTTTGTTAGTCTCTTTTGCAAGCCAGTGTAAATGAATTGAAAAAAAAAAGTAGTGTTGAAAGACACATTAGTTATGACGACCACCAGTTGAAACCATCCAGAATAATAAAAATTAATAATAAATACCAACGTCTTGGGTGAGAGACCAAGCCCATACCCACATGTTCTTGTACCAAGGAAAAATAAATGATGATTCTCTGTTGTTGAGGCAAATCCCAAGGACACTACTGAAAAAGTGGCTTGAAATAAAGGATTATTTTTCTGGCTGATAGTTGTGGATCACAGATAATCTAAACCTCTTTCTACTCAGCTGAGCATGATTAGGAGAGACTGCCTTATGTCATTTTAACTTACTCTCTATGATGTCTTTCCTACATGCTTTAACTTCTTTGCTCTCTGAACAATTATTTTAAACTCCTGCTATTTAGTGGCTCAGTAGCTGCTGGAATGAGGATGAGCCAATTCTGCCCATTATTAACAATGAATTTTTAAAAAGTTGTTTTCCACTTTGCCTTAGGTGCAGTTCTAGAATCTCTGTTTCCATAGTTTTTCCCTCGTGCTGTATTTCTGGAGCACCCTGCTGGTACCAGGTTGGCAGGGGCCACATAAAATGGAAGGGGGCAGAGAGATGTTTGTTTAGTGCTTACCCTGTATGCCAGACCCTTAATTGATAGCTGACACACATTATCTCATTTGATCCTATGATAAC
Source organism: Homo sapiens (assembly GCF_000001405.40). Classification (NCBI taxonomy): domain Eukaryota; kingdom Metazoa; phylum Chordata; class Mammalia; order Primates; family Hominidae; genus Homo; species Homo sapiens. The sequence continues at coordinate 33,464,065 of NC_000011.10, forward strand.
ACTGTGAGCAGATATTATTATCTCCTTTTCACAAGTGAGGAAACAGTCTTAAAGTGGTTAAGTAACATGTTCAGTATCACACAGTCAGTAAAAGCTAGATCTGTGATTTAAATGAAATCCAGCCTGGTTCCAAAGATCATAATTTTTTCATGAATACTTCCCAAAGTCCTCGTTCTATGTCATTTGTTAATTTATAACTTCCATCCATTCTTTCAGGGACTCAATCATTCATTCAATCAATCAGCAAACCCTTGTCCCTTGGTTGCTCTGTGTCAGGTCCTACCTACACTGAGCCCCTAAGATAGAAAGATGAGTAAGACTTGAGTCTCTCGCTTATATCCTAGTGGAGAATGCAGATAAGCCAACAGTCACGCATCATAGGCCCAAATGCCTGCAGAGCTGTGTGTGCATGTGTGTGTGTGTGTGTGTGTGTGTGTGTGTGTGTGTGCGTGCGCGCATGCCCCCCCCCACACACGCATTTGTACAAGCTAGCTGGGGCCTCTGAATTTTTTTCTCTGAGTAACATTAATATTTATTTGCCTGCTCAAATAAGTTAGCATTCCTATGTCCCTGTCCCTGCCATGTCTCCTTAAATTCCCTCTCCATACCACAGCCAGTGTGGTGTTTCTAGATCCACATCTGTTCAAATCATTTTCCTGCTTAAAACTCTTTGAGGGCTCTCCATGGTTCCAGGATCAAGTCCAGACCTCTTAGCAAGGCTTACTAGCTCTTTCTTGATCACCCTGTGTCTTCCCCCACCTCCTTGTGCTTGATTCAGCTGTATGGAATTTCCATTCAGATTTTTTTTAGCCCTGCATCTTCTCCGAACCCCAAGTCTGATCCAGCTAGATTGAACTTCGTGCAAATGTAAGGAATCTAAGAACATGCCTTGGGTCTCTGAGCTCTGGCCCTTTGTCCAGGGGTTCTCTCTGCTGAAACATCCTTCCTCCACTCCACATTCAACTCGCATGGGACCTTCTTCTTTTTTTTTTTTTTTTTTTTTTTTTTTGAGACAGAGTCTCACTCTGCCACCCAGGCTGGAGTGCAGTGGCACGATCTTGGCTCACTGCAACCTCCGCCTCCCAGGCTCAAGTGATTCTCCTGCCTCAGCCTCCCAAGTAGCTGGGGATTGTAGGCTCACGCCACCATGCCTTGCTATTTTGTATTTTTAGTGGAGACGGGGTTCACCATGTTAGCCAGGCTACTCTCAAACTCCTGATCTCAAGTGATCCATCTGCCTCGGCCTCCTAAAGTGGTGGGATTACAGGTATGAGCCACCGTGCCCGGCCCCAGGGGACCTTCTTGTCTTCCTTCACCGTCACCTCTTATGGGAAATATTCTCTGACCCCAGAGCCTTGCTCAGGGGCTCCACTGAGGGTTCTCATCCTGCATGCATGACCCAGTTGGAACACTTATCACACAGTTTTACAGCCTCCTGTAGATCTGCCTGTCTCCTCTCTTGGCCTTATGGGCAGGGGCTTAACTTTGTTATTCATTGAGTGGGTGGATCATAAATTTATATGCCAATATGAAGAAAATAGGAACTGTTTATGCTTTTGTACAAGTGTGCGTTGAAAAGTATGGTTAACTAATGGAACAGAACAGAGGCCTCAGAAATAACACCACATATCTACAACCATCGGATCTTCGACAAACCTGACAAAAACAAGCAATGGAGAAAGGATTCCCTATTTAATAGATTGTGCCGGGAAAACTGGCTAGCCATATGTAGAAAGCTGAAACTGGATCCCTTCCTTACACCTTACACAAAAATTAACTCAAGATGGATTAAAGACTTAAATGTAAGACCTAAAACCATAAAAACCCTAGAAGAAAACCTAGGCAATACCATTCAGGACATAGGCATGGACAAGGACTTCATGACTAAAACGCCAAAAGCAATGGCAACAAAGCCAAAAAACAAAAGCCTACTTGTTAATCACAACATGCCTTATTATAGAACAAAACAGACTGACATTCTCATCTCCATACATTGTAGACTGCTTTTCCCACCCCTCACCTCTTTCTCTACCAGCTGCTGCTTCTCCAAATAAATGACATCTAATTAAACTAAAGAACTTCTGCACAGCAAAAGAAAGTATCATCAGAGTGAACAGGCAACCTACAGAATGGGAGAAAATTTTTGCAATCTATCCATCTGACAAAGGGCTCATATCCAGAATCTACAAAGAACTTAAACGAGTTTACAAGATAAAAACAACCCCATCAAAAAGTGGGCAAAGGATATGAACAGACACTTCTCAAAAAAAGACATTTATGCAGCCAACAGACATATGAGAAAATGCTCATCATTACTGGTCATCAGAGAAATGCAAATCAAAACCACAATGAGATACCGTCTCACGCCAGTTAGAATGGCGATCATTAAAAAGTCAGGAAATAACAGACGCTGGAGAGGATGTGGAGAAACAGGAATGCTTTTACACTGTTGGTGGGAGTGTAAACTAGTTCAACCATTGTGGAAGACAGTGTGGTGATTCCTCAAGGGTCTAGAACTAGAAATACCATTTGACCCAGCAATCCTATTGCTGGCTATATACCCAAAGGTTTATAAATCATGCTACTGTAAAGACACATGCACACATATGCTTATTGCGACACTGTTCACAATAGCAAAGACTTGGAACCAACCCAAATGTCCATCAATAATAGACTGGATAAAGAAAATGTGGCACATATACACTATGGAATACTATGCAGCCATAAAAAAGTATGAGTTCATGTCCTTTACAGGGACATGGATGAAGCTGGAAACCATCATTCTCAGCAAAATATCACAAGGGCAGAAAACCAAACACCACATGTTCTCACTCATAAGTGGGAGTTGAACAATGAGAACACATGGACACCGGGAGGGGGAACATCACACACTGGGGCCTGTTGGGGGGTGGGGGGTTGGGGCAGGGATAGTGTTAGGAGAAATACCTAATGTAAATGATGAGTTGATGGGTGCAGCAAACCAACCTGGCACACGTATACTTATGTAACAAGGCTGCATGTTGTGCACATGTACCCTAGAACTTAAAGTATAATAAGAAAAATATGGTTAACTTTTTTCTTATTTTCTTTTCATAACGAAGTTGATTGACCTGCACTTGACATGTAAAGATGTATAAGAGTGCTGCTTGAAAATTTGGAGAAGCAGCAGCCAGTAGAGAAAGAGGTGAGGGGTGGGAAAGGCAGTCTACAATGTATGGAGATGAGAATGTCAGTCTGTTTTGTTCCATAATAAGGCATGTTGTGATTAACAAGTAGGAAACAGAACACAAGCACACACATACTAATGAAACAGTGGAAAGATTTCTATCAAAAAAGCACATCCAGCAGAGAGAGTGACCATTGGGCAGATGGAAAGTTTCAACCTAGAGTTTGAAGAGGGACATAGGGGTGATTTGCTTGGTTGGTGTAGAAGTTCCACATAGGAGAAGGAGAGGTTGGTAAGGCCCTTGGTGAATGACTGGTTGCCAGTTGAGGAGTTTGCCATAGCTACCCTGGTTATTTGGACACGTGGCAGAATCCCAAACACCAGATCCCAAGAACAGTGTTCCCATTTGTGTTTTATCTTCACCGCTTTCTCTGCCTGGGCAGTATATAGTAGATTCCATTTTTGTTTCTAGATCAGCATTAGGGAAAATCTGTGAGCTGATAGAGGATGGCTTTATTTTGAGAGTGCAGAGGAAAAGTAATGGTGACACCCTGCAGTGAGCAAGTGTACCATCCTGGAAGTCTGGCTTGCTCGTTTCATACCATCCTGGAGTTCTGGTGAATAAGAAGGTGAAAAACTCTGCAGTTAAAAAAGAAAGAGAAAAAGAACACCCAAAACAAACCAACAAAAATCTTGTCTTTTGAGCTCCTTGGAGTAGGGCATTGAGTGTTTGCAGCCACCCTGTCATTAATTCCCTGCATGTATCTACAGCCTTTTCCAGACAGCCACATTTTTCCCCTGACAAAACATTTAATTCCCTGTGACATTTCTCCATCATTATAAATAGCTGGGAGTTTTTAATCATTTTTTAAGTGCCAAAGCTTTTTTTGCCCAGTGGGGCGATAGCAGTTTGAGCAAAGCCATTTGGATCCTAAAACAAATCGATTGGCAAGTATTACACTCGGCTCTTCAAAGGGAACTGCTGATTTTAGCATGTTGGGAAGTTTCACAAGGGTATACATTTTCATATTTTTCTCCTGTCAGTAGTTTCCATGGCACCAAAGTTTCTCTGTAGCATTTGACGCTCCAGAGCAGCTCCAGTTATCTCTAAGGGTGTCACAAAGTTTTGAAAAAAAATTATCAAAAACAAATTAGTTTCAATTCACTGTAATTACAGAGAAATACTAAGTCCTAGCAAGGAGTGTTACAGAGTCACCCAGTCAACACCTAGTGTGGCACCTGCTGGGACATACCTGTGTCATTTCTGAGCCAGGACACACCTGCGACTGCAGGTCTATCACTGTCGAATCATCTGGAATGATGCTGTATTGACAGTGCCCTTATCTTCTATTGTTGTACTGATCCTGTATCCCTTCCTGTTGGTTGATCCTCTTTTATGTACTGGTGAGTGATGTTCCTTATTTATAAAAGAGTGAGAAGATTAAACTTAGTGAATGTTGATTAGCATTCTCAGCACTGCTTTGAAAATACATATCATAACGAACTCTTCTCAGCTATAATACGGCGCTCCAGAATCATAACTCTGGCCTCCATGCTATTGTAATTTTTGTGAGTATACTTTATTGCTCCCTAGCCCTGGGAGGAATGAAGATACTGAGCTTATTATTTTTTTTATGTTATAGAAACATCAACAAATAGTTTCAAAAATGTCCCCAGGAAGGTAGAAAAAGTAAATGTTGAAAGAGGGTACAATAATGGACTCAGGACTTCGTTGGCTCTGGGCTGAAGTGGGCCCCACTTGGAGGGTTTGCTTGCTTGTTGGTTTTTGTTTCTTTCATGACTTTATTGACATATAATTTGTATATCATTAAATTCACCTGTTTAAAGTGTACAATTCAGTGGTTTTTAGTGTATGTGCAGAGTTGTACAACTATCACCACGATCTAATTTTAAAATATTTTATCACCCCCAAACAAACCCCGTTATCTATTAGTCAGTCCCATTGCTCCTTCCTCCCAGTCCTACGCAATCTACCTTCTGTCTCTGTGGATTGGCCCATTCTGGACATTTTATATTTATGGAATCATATAGTATGTGGCCTTTTATGTGTAGCTTCTTTTACATGGCATGATGTTTTCCAGGTTTATCTTTATTTTAACAAATATCAGTACTTTACTCCTTTTTATTGCTGAATACTATGAATATAATGTGTCATCTTGTTTATTCATCAGGTGATGAACATGTGAATTTTTTCCACTTTTTGGCTTTTGTGAATAATGCTGTGATGAATGTTCATGTACAAATTCTTGTGTGGACATACGTTTTTGGTTCTCTTAGGTATATACCTAGGAATGGAATTGCTGGATCATATGATAACTATGTTGAATCATTTGAGGAACTACCAAACTGTTTTGCAAAGAGGCTGCACCATTTTAGAATCTTGCCGGCAATGTATGAGGATTCTGATTTCTCCACATCCTTGTCAACACTTGTTATTGTGTCTTTTTTATTTCAACCATCTTAGTAGATGTGAAGTGTAGCTCATTTTGGTTTTGATTTGTATTTCCCTAATGGCTAATGATGTGGAACATCTTTTCATATGCGTAATGACTGTTTTTATGTCTTCTTTGGAGAAATGTCTGTTCAAATCCTTTGGCCATTACAAAAATTGGATTATTTGTCTTTTCATTGCTTAACTGTAAGAGCTCTTTATATATTCTAGATACAAGCGTCTTATCAGACATTTGGTTTGCAAATATTTTCTTCCATTCTGTGGGTTTTACTTTCTTGATAGTGCACTTGAAGGCAAAATGTTTTAAATTTTATGAAGTTCAATTTATCTATTTTTTTTTCTTTTGTTGCTTGTACTTTTGGTGTCATATCTAAGGAACTGTTGCCTAATCTAAGGTCATGAGAATTTACTCCTATGTTTTCTTCAAAGAGTTTTGTAGTTTTAGCTCTTACATTTAGGTTCATGATGCATTTTAAATTGATTTTTGTATATGGTGTGAGGTAGGGTCCAATTTTGTTGTTTTACATGTGGGTATCAATTGTCCCAGCACCATTCATTGAAAAGACCCTTCTTTTCTCATTGAATTGTCTTGGTGTTCTTGTTGAAAATCAATTGACCGTAAATGTAAGGGTTTACTTTTGGACTCTCAGTTCTATTACATTGATCTCATATGTCCATCTTTATGCCACTGCCACACTGTAGTATAGTGTATTGTAGCTTTATAGTAAGTGTTTGTTTGTTTGGTTTTGGCTTTTTTTTTCAGACAGGGTCTCACTCTTTTGCCCAAGCAGAAGTGCAGTGGTGTGATCATGGCTTACTGCAGCCTTCACCTCTCCCTCCTCACCCTACAGAGTAGCTGGGACTACAGGCACATGCCACCTCACGCAGCTAATATTTTTGTGTGTGTTTGTTTTTTGGTAGAGATGGGGGTTTCACCATGTTGCCAAGGCTGGTCTTGAACTCTTGAGTTCAAGCAATCCACCTGCCAATCCACCCGCCTTGGCCTCCGAAAATACTGGGATTATAGGAATGAGCCACTGTGCTCAGGCCTGTAGTAAGTTTTAAAATCCAGGAAGTTAGAGTTTTCTGACTTTTTTCTTCTTTGTTTTGTTTTCTTCTTTGGCTTTGTTTTGGTTATTCTGTGTCCTTGAGAGAGAAGCTTTTAATGCTAGTGTGCCACTTCCACTCAGGATTCTGGCTGCAGGAGGAAGTAGGCAGTGTTGGTGAATGGGCAGAGTACTGCTACAGTGTGATTTAGTGATTTGTTAGGTGTTTCCATAAGTTTCTTGCATTTTTTTTAAGAGACTAAATTTTGCTATGTTGCCCAGGCTGGTTTCAAACTCCTGGGCTCAAGGGATCCTCCTGCCTCAGCCTCATGAGTAGCTGGGACTACACGCATGCCGCTGCACCTGGCTAAGTTTCTTGCATTCATAGTGAAATCTTTTTGAACACCACTACCATTACTGCCCCTCAACTTTTTATGGCCCAGGGAAGCCAAAGGCCCATCTCAGAACCTTTTTTTTTTTTTTTCAACATTCTCAGACTTTTGATCCCAGCCCAGCATCTTCCCTGTCTCTAGCACCTGCTTCTGGGTGTGCCCTCTTGAGTTCTTGCCCCATGTCACCCTTGATGGTAAACTTAGCCACTTCATTAGTTCTCTAAGTCATGCAGTCATGCTAAGCATTTTGCAACATTGGTAAACTTTATGAAGATTAAGGGGTCACTTGGAGTAATCATGTAGGGCATAGCATTCTTCCATCTTAATCATCCCTTCTTCTCTCTCTCCTCATTCTCTTCATTCCAGATCTCCCTATTCCTATCTCCAATTGTTGATGCTCAGTTACTCAGAACAGCTTTATTCCTTCTTAGAAGTCTCATTCAGGTTTTGAAGAAAACAACTTCTAGCCTAATGAGCTCATCAGAGCCTTTACCCAACAGTGGAGGTTTTCTCTAAGGTCTCTCCCTAGAAGGAGTCTCCTTCCCTCCTGCTAAGAGAGAAAACATCTCTCCAACTGCTTTCACATGTTGACTCACAGCAAAATCTGTTAGCCCTATCAGGGAATTTGCCAGGTAGGTGCAGATCTGGCATGGACTCTGCAGGCAGGAACAGAGCCAGGTTTCTGAGGTCCATCCTGGGTTGTACATTCTGCGAGTCTCTGAGCCCTTGGTTTCTTTATCAGAACCTTATGAACAGTCTCATGGAAGTAAGCAGACAATGGCTTAAGCATAGAAGGTTTTATTCTCTGAGTAAAAAGGCTGGAGTTGGGCTTACCGGAGATGCAGACTCCTTTTATCCTGTTGCTCTGTTGTTCTGAGTGTTGCCTCAGAATGAGCCAAAGTGGCTTCTTAAACTTTATGCATCATCTCCACATTCCTGTTGGTGCCTCTTTCTTCCTTCCTTTCCTTTTTTTCCTTTCTCTCTCTTTCTTTCTCCTTCTTTTCTTTTCTTTCTTCAGGACCTTGCTGCGTTACCTAGACTTGAGTACAGTGCAGTGAACTCCTGGGCTCAAGCCATCCTCCTGCCTCAGCCTTCCAAGTAGCTAGGACTACAGGCACATGCCTCATGCCTGGCTTTTTTTTTTTTTTTTTTTTTTGGTTGTAGAAACAGGGTCTCATTATGTTGCCCAGGTTGGTCTCAAACTCCTGGCCTCAAGAGATCCTCCCATTTCGGCCTCCCAAAACACTAGGATAACATGTGTGAGCCACTGAGTCTGGCCCTCTTCCTTTTAAGGACACTTCCTGGGAGTAACCTCCTGCCTACATTAATTGAACAAAACCTAGCCATATGGCTGTACAAGGGAGACCAGGAACTATAATTCCAGGGGCCACATACCTAGCTAATATTGGAGTGTTCTAATACTAAGCGAGAAAGTCATTTGGGAAGACAGCCAGGACTTTCTGTTACAGAGGCTCCTGTCTCTGTTCAGGAGCCCAAGAACAGAGAAGGATCTCAGACTGGAGAAGTCAGTAGGTATAGCCTGAAATAGTTGCTGACTGCATGTCAAAAATTTCTTTCAGGTCTCATTTTTTATCTTAAAATTGTGCACATTCTGCACCACAGTCCGTATTATATCCATGTTTCTCATGCTGCAAAATCTAATAAGTAAAATCAGTACTTTGGAGAGATTCACCTTACTAGTTGCTGCAGCTTCCCTCATTTCCTACCATGCTTCTACTTACCTCCAGGCTGTTTCCAGTTTGAGAAACAGGGCTTTCTCTGGACTTGGTGCTCCAGCTTCCAATGTGTGACCAGGAACATGAGTAGGGGCTGCTTTGAAGGCAGCCACCCTGTAGTGACCAAACCCAGAGCCCAGTGCAGGGTCTCAAATAGGGTCACAAGAAACATTTGTTGGAAGAGTGAAAGAACAAATAAATCAAATTGTGTCTGTACTTCAGACTTGGATGGCTGTGGCTGTAGTGTCTGTTTGGGGCTTTTCTGATGCTTGTTCATGTTAATCCATCAAATAGTTATTGAATGGCTATTAGGGTACCCCCAAAATCAGGGATTTGGGGAAATTAAAGATGAATAACCATAGTCCCTACCTTCAAAGAGCTTCCGTCTAGTGGGAAAGGAGGAGGCAAGTGGAAATTTTAATGTAGAGTATTAAGTACTGTAGGGTCAAACCCAGGTGCTGAAGAAGCACCTAGGAGGGGCATCTGACCCAATCTTGGGCGAACAGGGGATACTTCCTGGAGGAGGTGATGTCCAAGACAAGTCTTAGAGGTTGCATAGGAGTTGTCAGGACATTGAAAGGAGGAAGAGAGAAAGACACGCGTGAAGGCTCATTGGTGAGAGGAACTATCAGCAGTTTAAAGTGGCCTAATTATAGTTACCTTCTCAAAGGCCCTGTCTTATAATCTCATTCCTTTGCCAAGCAGCCTACTATAGTGTCCTTTGCCTAAAGACTGTGTTCTCCGCTTCCGAGCATGGCATTCAAAGGCTCTCCACCATTTGGTCTCATATGCACGTTCCCTTCGAGTCATATTAGATTAGTCCCCATTCCCTGACCATTTTCCTCATTCTCCCCTCTTGGCTAATTTTATATCCTTTATCTAGAATAACCTTTCCTATCTTCTCCACTGGTCAAATCCTACTCCCTTCTGGGAAGTCCTAAGATGCTGTATTTTAAAAACAGATTAAAAAAAATCTGTTTTTGTGTTACTATAAAGGGATACCTGAGGTGGAATAATTTATAAGGAAAAGAGGTTTGATTGGCTCTTGGTTCTGCGGGCTGTACAAGCATGGCTCCAGCATCTGCTTCTGGTGAGGGCCTCAAGAAGCCTTCTATCATGGAGGAAGGGAAAGTGCACCAGCATCTCACATGGAAAGAGTAGGAGCAAGAGAGAGAGGGAGAAGGTGGCAGGCTCTTTAAACAACCAGCTGTCTCCTGCACTCAGAGCTAGAATTCACTCATTACCATATGGAGGGCACCAAGCCATTCATGAGTGATCCTCTGCCATGACCAAAACACCTCCCACCAGGCCCCACCTCCAACATCGAAAATTACATTTCAACATGAGATTTACAGGGGACAAACACCCAAACTATATCAGATGTCATCTGGCTTGTGAAGCCTTAAATTTGCCCTGAATTGGACTTACTTTGCCCCACCTCCGTGATTCCAGAGCTCATATCTTTCATTATGCAGCATTGATCACATTCAGTCGTACACTTTAGTTATATAACCTTTCCCTTGCTCGTTGCTCTTCTGTGAGCAACTTGAGGGCAGGGATGCAAGGCCAATTCATCTTTAAGTTCCACAGAGCTCTTTCTCTCGCTGTCTTAGAATCACATGTGTGACAATGCCTGACAATATGCGATTCTAAGAGACTGAGAGAAAGAGCACCCACTTTAGACTCAAGCCTGGGTTCAACTCTCTATCCTGGCACTAATGCTATGCCTTGGGGAAGCCCTTTAACTGCCCCTTGGGCTCCTAACTTCCTCATTTGTAAAAGAGAGATAATGATAATAGCCACTTTGGGAAGTGGGTTGGAGGATTAAATGAAATGGCATCAGCAAAGAGTACTGCATAGAAACTGGCACCCAGTAGGTACCCAATAAACACCTGCCAAACGAAATGGCTGCAGCCTAATTGCTGCTCAGTTTATTTTGGTTCTGCTTTTTCCAGGCGAGGGCCTGTCATCTTCATAAACACTCCAGCGTGAGGAATGGTGGAGGAATTCTAATTATTTGGTGTTATAGACTTTTTTTGTTAATTAAGGAGGGCTGCAATATTTTAAACTCACACGGGAATATCCAAGGGAATTGAAAGCCTTGCAGAATATGTATCTTCAGGGAATATGGTGTTGAGAACTCTGGGTGTGTGGGTTTGCTGGTTGCTGCTGCGGAGCTGTGAACATTTAAAGCAGCGAGTGTGCAAAAGAGGGAGCTTCTCATTCTCCTGCAATGACTTTCTGAGCAGAGGGGGCCAGAGCTGTATATGCCCCTAACACCCAATTCCTCACCTCGTCTTTTCTTTCTTATGGAGCCCTGATTCATAGAAGCTGGAGGTAGTTTTGCCTCTTCTGGTACTGTGGCTGCTAGTGTATGGATGCATATTTATTCATTTTTTACTTAGCCTTGTTCTAGAAAAGAATTTGCAGTGGTGAGCTTGTAAATATAGCCTGTTTCTTCTCCGTTTAATGGCTCTTAAACAAAAGTGCATATCAGATTTGACTAATGAACTTTTCAAAAAATATGTTTTTGGCCAGGCATAGTGGCTCACGTCTATAATCCCAGGGCTTTGGAAATCTGAGGTGGGAGGATCGTTTGAGCCCAGGAGTTCGAGGTTATAGTAAGCTATAATCATGCCAGTGTACTCCAGTCAGGTGACAGAGTGAGATCCTGTCTCTTTAAAAAAAAAAAAGGCCAGGTGCAGCGGCTCATGCCTGTAATCCCAGCACCTTAGGAGGCAGAGGCAGGAGGATCACTTGAGCCCAGGAGTTTGACACCATTCTGGGCAATATAGCAAGACCCTCATCTCGCTCTCTCAAAAAAAAAAAAAAATTAGCTAGACGTGGTGCACATCTATGGTCCCAGCTGCTCAGAAGGCTGAGGCAGGAGGATCACTTGAGCTCAGGAGATCAAGGCTGCAGTGAACTGTGATTGTGCCACTGTACTTCAGCCTGGGTGACAGAGTGAGACTGAGACTCCATCTCAAAAATTAAAACAAACAAAAATATAGTCTCTCTCCCGCCTGCCCCCCACCCAACTCCCCCCAGGTTGGGATTCATTAAATCTGGGGTGGGCCTGGTCACATTAGTATCCTTCAGTAAACCCTCACATGTGCCCATCCCTGCTTGAGAAGCTTGGCTGTAGATCACACACATGATCTTTTAAAACCTGGAAACTCCACACAACTGGTCTGGGCAATAGCCCGTGGGAGAGACGGCAAGTTTGAATGCTTCTCAGGAAATCTATTACTGTGCTGAAATTGGCAAACTGCCAAGGCAGCTTTGAAGGGAACAAGAATCTGCAGTTTTGTTGAAAGACAAGTTTACTCTGTAATCAGGGACTTGGCTAATGAGTGCATAGGCCATGCTGATTAGGGAATAAGACATCGAGATGAATGAATGGGGGTGTGTGCTCATTGGCGAAGCTCACCTCCATCTCTCTCTGTGGTCAGCCCAGAGGCTGGTGCCAGATGTTGAACTAGAGAAGCCTCAAGCTTATAAGCCACGGGTCAAATTCAAAGAGGTTATCCAAGAAGAGGAGGAACTAGTAGATGCTAGACGCCCAGAATCCAGAGCAGTTTTGATACAGCAGTCTTTAAACAACAAAGGTCAGATAGTGTCACCATTTTGCTTAAAACTCTTCAAAGGATTCCCATTGTACTTAAAGTCTGAACTCCATACAGTAGCCTACTGGCACCTACCTGTCCTGGCCTCTCTCACCTCTCTTCGTAGCTCCTACACTTCAGCTGCTATCCCTGGAATTCTCAAGCTCACCATTCTTTCAGAACCTTGCAGTTCCTTCTTCCAAGCGCATTGCCCCCAACCTCCCAGCTCCTGCTCATCATTCAGGTCTCAGCTCAGTTGTCCCCTTAGAGGGGCACAAAAATGTGCACCCTATTACAAATAAACTCTCCTAACGTCACACTGAAACACGTTACCCTGTCTTATCTTTGCTTTTTCACAAAACCTATTCCTACTTGAACATCTCTCGTTTATTTACTAATGTCTATTGTATGTCTCTTTCATTAGAATGTAGGCTTTGTGCGTTTTGTTTGGTTCTGTATCTCTGGCACCTGTAAGAGTATTAGGCACAGTTGGGAGTTCAACAAATAAGTGATTGAGTGAATGAATGAATCAAGCCAGTAAACTGGAGCCTAGAGGGCTGACCCCCAGACTGAAGTTCTGGCAACTCATGGTCAGTGCTTGATCAGGCCAAAGGCAGTAACACTTCAGTATCTATGCAAGAAGGTTGTTATTCAGTAGTAGCAGAGCTGTGTCAGTTAAGAATAGAGCTAAGTCAGCCTGCTTCTCCAGAGGAGTCTCCCTGGAGCCTTCTTGGTGTGGCCTGAGCCCGAGGAGGAGGAGGTGTTTCTACCTGGGTAGAATGCCCCCCACCACTTTTGGAACACTGGGTGGGGAGCTGAGAAGTCTGTCTCTGATACTTCAGAAAAAGTGAACGCTTAACAAGATGTAGAAATCCAGTGAGGTATGACTCACAGAAATGTTCTCTCTGACCTTCTGCCCAATGGGATGGAACACAATAAATTTCAAGATGTAAGATATTTAATGTAGGGTTTTTAGAAAGGCACTGTGATGAATAATCTGTGGTGGAGTGCCACGCAGGTGCACGCACACACACACAAACACACACACACACACACACACGACACTACCCCCCTTTGCATGTGGTTCTCTTCGGTTAACTCTTGCTCACTTTTCCAGCCTTGTTAAGGTGCCATTTGCTTTGGGAATCACTGGGTGCTGGTCAAAGTGCTCATATTGGGTGATCTCTTTAGATGGCTTTGTCTGAGCACATCCTCCCCTCTTGGGATTGTCAGTTACTTGCTCCCACCCTCACTTCCTAGAACTGTGAGCTCCTCGAAGGACTGTATAATTTGTCTTTATGTTTCTGTCACCCAGCACAGTGTCTGATCTACCATGGTGCTTAATAAATGTCTGCTGAATGCACAGATGCATACACACACACACACACACACCACTGTGGGAAACCACTTACGTTTTGTCCAAGTTCATAGACCCAAGGAACAGCCCCAGAGGCACAGAGCACCTGCTGTACTAAAATAGGTGGAGACCTGTGAACTACAGGTAAGACAAGAGGTCCAGCTACATTTAGACAGAAGGCTTATGGTCCAGCCAGAGGGGGTGTTGGCTTGTCACATAAAAGGGAAAGGCTTGAGTGTTTCTCTGATATTTACTTCCCCTACAGTAAAAGGGCAGGACAGGGGAACCAACCTAGCGACATTAAAATCATTGTCTTCTGTGGTATGCAGATTCACCTGACCTTGAACTCACTGATGACATGGTATCGATTGCACCACCACCTGCAGTCCTGCAGCAGCAGCTGCCAGCAGAAGCCATGCTAACAGAACTCACAGAGGCAAGTTTTGTTCTAGCCTGACAAGCATGCCTGGCTTTGCAAGCCCCCCAGACGGGCAAAGGTTTCTGCAAAGCTATGTCTTGCAGGGATTGCAGTTTTGTCTTGGGGAAAACACAGATTGGCCTGAACCCGTTGGGGGAGGAACAGAGCGAAAGAGGTTTTTTCAAGCTCTGCAGAGCTGTTATAACCACATGGAGCGGATTTCAGAGCTGATGGGCTCCGCCTGCAGAAGGCTGCATAGCAACAAGGGAGGAGTTCTCCATTTCTGTCCTTTTAAAGAGCTGGTCACAGATAGGAATAGCATTTTTTTCCATCTGATTTTTATGTTGTCCTTCATGTAAACAGTAAGCCATGATTTTGCTTTATATGGACAGATAGAGTGGTCACAGTTCAAGCCCTTCACTTGAACTATCTCATTTAATCCTCAAAATATTTCTGAGGAGGTGCTATTATTTTTTTAAATTATTATTATTATGATTTTAGACGGAGTCTTGCTCTGTGGCCAGGCTGGAGCGCAGTGGCACGATCTCGGCTCACTGCAACCTCTGCCTTTCACCATGTTGGCCAGGATGGTCTCGATCTCTTGACCTCGTGATCCACCTGCCTTGGCCTCCCAAAGTGCTGGGATTACAGGTGTCAGCCACCATGCCCAGCCACAGGTGCTATTATTATCCTCATTTTCACAAATGAGGAAGCTCAGACTTGGGCATGTTGCCCCTAAGGTTACTCAGTTAGTAAATGGTAGAGCCAGAATTTGAATCCAAAGGAGATGAAGACATATATGGGATATATACAGATCTGCATATCTTCAGATATTTTTTCACCAGTGCTCATTATGTTTTTATCCTCTTTGCCTTTGTTAGGGTAGACAAGAGGTAAAGCTGAGATCATGGAAGTGGAAGCTTTCTATGGATTTGCTGGACTGAGCTGGGGGTTCCTGGGCTAGGTGCCTTCAGCTGCACTTGTAGCAACAAGGAGAGGCTGAGGCAAGGCCAGAGGGCATTCAAGTGACACTCATGCCACCTGGGAGCTGCCACCTGGCCTTCCTTCATCTGTGATTGGCCAGCGTTAGGAAGAAAAGCCAGAATGTGAAATTTACAAATGGTTTGTCGAGGGAGGGAACTGGGGGACATCCAAGTTAGAAGAGGTTGGCAAAGGGTAAAATGAATAGCCAACCAAAATATAAGGCAACAGTGGGCAGGAGGTCTGGGCTGCACAGATGACAAGCTGGCCCTTGAAGTGGCTGTGCCAAAGAGAAAGGGGAAGAAGTGCCAAGAATGGAAAATCAGTGGGAAATTTAAAAGTTGAATTAGAAAATCTGAAATGAAAGTGGCATCGGAGAATAAGAGAAGGCTTTCTGTTATATTGGAATTAAAGAGACAGAGCTTGTGATTCTCAAACCTTTTCTGTTGTTAAGAGCGTCACCCTAGGTCTGGAAATTGAATTGAGGGGTGCGTTTTTAGCAGAATTGTTGGGAGGGAAAACAGGAGCCAATGCCGGGCACATTTTTGATTGAGAAACAGATTTTAAAAGGGAAGAAAAGAAAGAAGAAAAGGCAGGACTCTCAGGACCAAGCAAGGTAGCAGAAGAGAGGCTCAGAGCTTTCCTTAGGGTCTCCATTTAAAAACTGTGGTATGTTTAACACGCAGAAACTTGTTTTGAAAGACTGAGCTGTAAGAGACAGCCTATTAGCTTGTTTTCCTAAATCAAGTTAAATTTGGCTTCAAGCCTCCATGTATCAGAGTTGGAGGGAGGTTCATATTAATGATTGTGTGTGTGTGTGTGTGTGCACGCGTGCTTAAAATAGCTTTGTTGAGATATAACCCAAATACAATACAGCTCACCCGTTTAAAGTGTGTAATTCAGTGACTTAGTATATTCAAATTACAAGTTCATTTCCACAATCAATTTTAGAACATTTTCCTCTTCCCCAAAAGAAACCCTGTACTCTCCTTTTTCCTCCAACTCTCTCAGCCCCAGGCAACCGCCAATCTCCTTTCTATCTCTGTGGATTTGCCTATTTGATTGGCTTCTTTCACTTAGTATAAGGTTTGCAGGGCTCAGCCGTGCTGTAGCATGTATCAGAACTTCATTCCTTTTTATGGCTGGATAATACTCAATTGTATAGATGGGCTTTACTTTATTTGCTCGTTCATGAGTGAATGGATTCTTTTGGCTGCTAGGAATAATGCCGCTGTGAACACTCGTGTACAAGTTTTTGTGTGGATGGATGTTTTCATTTCTCTTTGGTGTATACTTTTAGAAGTGTAATTCATGGGTTATATGGTAACTGTGTGTTTGGGATGGTGATTTGTATCCCTAAGGTTGTAACAAAGCTACAAGGGGTTACCAGAAATTTTGGGGAAGGATCTCTGGTCTTCAGTCCACATAGACACTGCAAGAAGCTCATCACCCAAGTCCTGGTGGGCCATTTGAAAGTTAGTGGTTTTCCTATTCTCCGTTTGTGCCAGACTCTTTGCAGTCTTTGTGCCAAACTCTGCAGTGAGACTGCCACTGTTTGCCAAGGCTGGGGGCCTTATGGCTTAGTTTCCTAGCAGCCATGTGTCACCCCCATCAGAAGCCCAGCTCCCTCCTAGGACATCACGTGGATGTAGGAGTCAGATTTAGCTGCTGCTTAAGGGACATGATGCCATCTCCACCCTCCGCTAAATCTACCATTAGCAACTCACATTTTTTTCCCATAGAACTGTGTCAACATTGAATTTTACTATTTGTACTTATTTTAGTTTAATGTGTTCAGTGGTAGTTTAAAGTTGCTTTGGCTTGTTTTTCTTTAATGGCTAGGAATAGTGCATTTCTGTATTTTTTTCTCGTTTAGACTTCCTTTGGGCTAAGTGGACCATTCTTCTGTGGCCCACTTAATGAATAGCATCTGGGCTTTTTGTATATATTTATATCAGTTCTTTACATGTGCTACTTTGAGTAGTAAAACTTTCATCAATTATGTTTGTCGTATTTTGATATTACTATTTATTTATTTCTCAAGGCATTGCTCTTTTTTATCTCTTCAGTAGTAAGAATGCTATCTCATTTTCACTTTTGTTAAACTTTTATTTTAGGCTAGTGGTACATGTAGAAGTTTGTTCTATAGGTAAACTGGAAATTTTTCACTTTTAATACAAATTAGATAGTTTTAATGCATAAATTGTTGCCTGGTTTAAAAGTTATTTTGTGTCACCAGGACCTAAAGTGCAATAAATCATTTTTTATTTAAGTTGGCATTTAACAGTAGTTCTCTTTTCCACTTTTGTGTTACTCCTGATATGTCATTTATTACGTTCCTTTAATAGCTTGAATTTTGTTTCTGGAATATATACCAGCCCAGGGATGCTTGCTTTTAATACAGCTCCACGTACGTTCAATAACTGCAGCTTTATAATTTGCAGTCCAGTAGGACAGACCCACCCTCACTTTTTAAAAAAGAAGTCTCTGTTATTCCTTATTCCTCTGAGTAAATTTCACTGTGTGCTTGTCTCACTCTAGAAAGTGTTCCAATAGACCTTAATGATATTGGATTAATTTATAAGTCTACATTGGACATGTTTGCATCTCTACCACCTGAACGAGGATTATGCTCTTAACTGCACCTTTTAAGCCCATGGGCTCATCCCATGTTCCCTGTAATTCTCAGTTCTCCTTCTGCCTCCTCTTTCTCTCAGAGCAAGTTAGAAATTTGCCCTTGGAGCAGAAAGCATCACACTATTCAGGTTTTCCTTATTTCTCTTAACAGAGTTTTATAACTTTCCCTAAGTCATGTGTGTCTTAAGTGAAATGAATATGCAGATATTTAATGTTTTGTATTACTATTTCAAATAGCATTTTTTTCCTGGATTTTTTTTCTTTGTGCTGTCTGGCACTAGTGTAAGCAAAGGTTATTGATTTTTGAGGATTATTTTATACCCTCAATTTTGAGCAAGTCATTCTCTGGTTAATTTTCTTGAATTTTCTAGGACTATAACCACGTCATCTTGAAATACTGACACTTCTATTTTTTTCTTCACAATTTTTATACTTTTTTTTTCTTGAATAGTTATCTGCTGGAATTTCTAGAGCTAGGTTAAATAGAGGTGGTGACAATGGGACATTGTTGTTTTTTCCCCCCAGTGACTATAAAACTGATAAGTATGTTTAACCTTTCCCCCAGGTTAAGACAGAAAATCTGCACCTTTTTTGGGAAAATTAATTAAAAATTAATGCTGAATTTTACTCGGTTCCTTTTGGCACATATTTAACAATTACGTGTATCTAAGAGCTATCTTTGCATATGCTATACTTTTTTTTTTTTTTTTTTGAGACTGAGTCACTCTGTCGCCCAGGCTGGAGTGCGGTGGCATGATCTTGGCCCTCACTGCTGCCTCCACTTTCCAGGTTCCAGTGATTCTCCTGCCTCAGCCTCCTGGGTAGCTGGGATTATAGGCACGTGCCACCATACCTGGCTAATTTGTGTGTTTTTAGTAGAGATGGGGTTTCATCATGTTGGCCAGGCTGGTTTTGAACTCCTGACTTCAAGTTATCCACCCGCCTCACCTCCTAAAGTGCTAGGATTGCAGGTGTGAGCCACAGCACCTGTTGCTATACATTATAAAGTAGTTTTTAAAAAGTTATACTAGATTTATATGACTAAGACAAGCTCTGATTATTCATGATTTAAAATTTTCAGTGTTTCCTGGTATTTTCATAAGAGACATAAGCCACTATCCAGCTCGCTGTTCCCTATCTCCTCCCATTGTTCCTTTCTCCCTGCATCCTCCTTTCATGCATCATTTTCTCTCCTCCTTTTCCCTCCTGTCTCCTCCTCCTCCTCTCTTTCCCTCCTCTCCTTCCTCTATCCTTTCCTTCTGGTGTCTTTGTCAGCTTTGGGAGTTAAAGCCTTTACCTCAGAGACTAACCTAGTTAATAGTGCCATCGTTCTAGAATAAATGAGATCCTTTATGTAATAAATGATTTGGAGAAATTCTCCTGTCAGTCCAGTAGTAACAAATATCTTGTTTGAGGGGTAGACAGGGTTGGAAATTGTTGAGGGGGAGAAATCTACGTTCTGGGCGCCCTTTGGGAAGGCGAACCTTGAGCAGAATGATGTTGGGAAGTGATGTGGGTGGGTTGGGTACATTCACCTAGAGACCTTAGCTAATCTGGCATGGTGGGCATTACACATATATTAATAGATGGTGAAAGAGACATCATGAAGGTGAAATCTGACCCACTTGGCATACCACTGGGCATGGCAGGCACGAGGCAAGGCAGGCATATGTTTGCTGCTCTTAGGCCTCCTCTGATATGGTTTGGCTGTGTCCCTACCCAAATCTCATCTTGAATTGTGGCTCCCATAGTTCTCATGTGCTATGGGAGGGACCCATGGGAGATAACTGAATCATGGGGGATGGTTTCACCCATACTGTTCTCGTGGTAGTGAATAAGTCTTATGAGCTCTGATGGTTTTATAAGGGGAAACCCCTTTCGCTTGGTTCCCATCTGTGACCATGTAAGATGTGCCTTTTACCTCCCACCATGATTGTGAGGCTGCTCCAGCCACATGGAACTGTGAGTCCATTAAACCTCTTTTTCTTTATAAATTACCCAATCTTGATATGTCTTTATCAGCAACGTGAAAATAAACTAATACATCCTCTATTTCTGAGAGTTGTCTTTCCCACTGAGGAATTAGCTTGGCCATTTGATCTTGGAAATAGTCTTCTTGGTCAGATACTATCCATGCTGTGAGGGATGCATATGGCTTTATTTGGGGCAGGTTCTTCCCAGACCCTTTTCTTTTTCAAAGAGCAAAAACCAGAATGGCATTCTCTTATTTCTATAATTATTTTCTATTATTTCTATTATTTGTTATTTCGTCTTTAAACTTCGGGGACAGCTGGTGGATCTGTTCTTGAATTTCAAGTTTAGAAACCTGATGAGTGCCTTTGACCTCAATCCTGAGCCTGACTCTGTAACCATTTGTTGATATCCACATGGAGAATGTCTTTCAAATGGAGAATGTTGTCTTAAATCACTGCTCTTTTAAGATCTCAGTATCACCGCCTTTGTTTTCCTCTTCCCCCTGATTCCCCTTGTCATGTGGTATGGATCTGCATTCTTCAATTCTGTTGTGGCTATTTCTTCTATGTTGTGGTCCATGGTTTTGAGCAAGGAACCTGCAGCCAGACTGCCTGGGTTCTAAGACCAGCTCCGCCATTTATAGTCGGAGTGGACTTCGCCAGTTACTTAATTCCTGTGTAACCTGGCTTCTCCAGCCACATAATGGGAATTGTGACCACTCACCTCCCTAGAGTCGTTGTGAGAATGAAATGAGATTATCTACATAAAGGGCTTTGCACCATGCTGGACGGAGGTGAGCATCCCATAAGTATTAGCTGTAGCTATATTGTTAGCGTCTGCTGGTGTGGAAAGCTGTAATTTAGGTTTTCCATGGTTGTGTATGTTCTCCACTGCATCAGTGTTGTGTCTTCTCCTTTTTTCAGTCCCACTCCAGAATTTATAAGTTTATTGTAGTTTATTTTCTTCTCTGTATAATCTCACTTTGATAATTTATTTTTTTCTTGCAGCTTTAAAATAAGTAGGCATGGATCATGCCCCTACTGGCCTTTAAAAGGCACCATGCTGGTATTCTAATCAAGACCATTGCTTAGAACCAGCTTCCTCTATTTAATCCCCAAATTCTTGGTTTCCTTTTTCATTTCCCTAGGTCAGAAGGCTTCCTTCATCCCCTGATTTTGATAGGTGCACACTGGCCAGGGGTAGACATAGCCTCTTTATCATCCACGACCCAGCACCTTCAACCTTAGGACACAAGTTGGGGGGCTTATTTTGCTGCTGGGGCCTTGGTGCTTCCCATTGTTTTAGGAAAGGACTTCCTGTCCCAGCCTGCCCATTGAAAAAGTTGGACCAAGGGGAGGAAGCATCTTGTCAACTTGCCCCTTTCGAGTCCCAAAATTTTCAAGAATCTGTAGTTTCTTTTGCAATGGCATTGGGGGGAGGTTGATTTCTTTTATTATTTTCTCTCATGCCTAGCTACAAAATGCATGTTCAATCTTCTACAAAATTTATCTTTTGACATTCCAAAAGATGTCTTATTAATAGTGAATGAGTCAAAGTCATTGTCAATGTGTACCTTATTTAAAGAATAAGTGATTTTCATGACAAAAGTATCTATTTGTTTTTTAAATTATTTATTTTTTAATTGGCAAAGGTCAATTAAAGATATTTCCAGATTAAAAAAACCTGTTATATATTTATGGTGTACAATATGATGATTATGTATACATTGTGGAATGACTAGATAAAGCTAATTAACATATCAGTTACCTCACATTTTTATCATTTTTTTTGGTGAGAACATTTAAAATCTCAGCAATTTTCAAGTGTACAATACTTTGTTGTTAACTATAATCACCATGTTTTACAATAGATCTTCTGAATGTATTCTTCTTGACTGAAATTTTATATCCTTTGACTAACATCTCCCCATTCCCACCCCAACCCCAGCCCCTGGTAACCTCCATTCTACTCTCTGCTTCTATGAGTTCGACTTTTTTAGACTTTATATGTAAGTGAGATCCTTGGTATTTGTCTTTCATTGCCTGGATTATTTCACTTGATATAATGTCCTCCAGTTTCATCCCTGTCATCACAAATGACAGGATTTCCATTTTTAAGGCTGAATAGTATTCCATCATGTATATATTCCGCATTTCCTTTATCCATTCATCTGTTAGTGGACACTTAGGCTGATTGCGTATTTTGGCCATTGTGGATAATGTGGTAGTGAACATGGAAGTGCAGGTATCTCCTTGACATACCGATTTTATTTCCTTTGGGTATATACCACAATGAAACATCACCCTATACATGTTAGGATGACTTTTTTTCAAAACGACGAGAGGTAAATATTGGCGAGGCTGTGGAGAAAAGGGAAGTCTTATACAGTGTTGGTGAGAATGTAAGTTAGTACAGCCATTGTGGAAAACAGTATGGAAGTTCCTCAAAAAATTAAAAATAAAACTACCATATGATCCAGCAATTCCACTTCTGGGTATATATCCAGAGAATCTGTGTCTTTTAAGATTGATTTTGGATCATACATTGCTTGGTTTTTCAATTGTTTCTCTTGGTTTAAGACATTTGTATGTTTTTTATTTTGGCAAATTTTGTTCAGAGGAAATTCCTTGGGGCTACCCCTACTCAAAACGAATTTAACTACTTAATGCATATACTTTATGTGTGAAATGATACTTTTATAATTAATTTAATTAAGTCTTTGTAATAAAGATATTATACTCAGAACAATGTTTTATTAAAGGTTAGTAAATGATTTCTGATAGAGACACCATAGAGCTTTTTACTTTGTCTTTTCATGAAGGACAAATTATCCTTTGAATCATTGCCTACGTCTAGCCATTCTCTTAACATATTTCAAATGTCAAGGTCTTTCCAGATTAAAAAAAAAATCTATGAATAACTCAACCAAGGAGCTACCTGCAAAATTCAATTTCTGATGGTGATCAGGTATGTCATAGAAGCCCCACTGCTGATGATGGAGCAGGTATTCTCAGCGTTGTTCTACCCAAGACTTACTTCAGTTTATCAGTTCTTGAAAATTTCATTTATGGAAACCACTACATTGCCATCAAACACTTTATGGACCCATGAAAGCAAGTGGCTTTAAGCATTTTAAACAGAGCCTGTGTACATGATGAATATAAAGAAGTATTATGTGGATCTCCATAGCAATTTATTATTCACTCAATCATAAATTGCATTTTTCCACTCTGCCTCGACCTTTAGGAGGCCCGCTGATGGGGAAAAGATAACATCTAATAATGGAAAGTCTAGTTGTTTTGTTAGATGTCAAACTTTTGAGATCAGCTTCCAAGCAAGGACAATCTTATTTGAGAAGATTATTAACCATCTCTTTTTCTCAGCGCTAGCTGTAGATCATCTGCAAGACTCTTGCGGATCATGGAGACTAATTTGGAGGGGTGGGACTGTGAGATGGAAGGTGGTATGTACTGACCAAGAAGTCTAGCCCACTAGGTGGGGGGCAGGTTGCTGGATGATGAGCCCTGGAGGCAGGGACCATGGTCTATTGTTCTTTTTTTTTTTTTTTTTTTTTTGGTCTATTCTTGTATCCTTAGCAGCCAACATCCAGACGGTCTTGAATGTTTGTTGAATGACTGAGTGGATGACAAGGAGCTTTGGGGAATGAGATGTTCTAGCAAAGTTCTAGCATCTCAGCTTTGGTGGCCATTCTTTTCTGCCTTGCCTTCAGAAGTTTGTGAGCTGAAACATCGATTCGTACTGTGAATGCATTTTAGAATTACTTGGGAACATTTTTAAAAAATACTTGAAACCCATCCTCAGAGATTCTGATTTAATTAGTCTGAGGTGGGATCTAGGCATCAGTATTTTCCGGAAGTTTTCTTATGTGATATTAATATACAGTCAGGGTTGAGACCCCCTATAAATGGGTAGGGTCCAAAGTTGGAAGACCAAAATGAGGTATGTTAGGATTCACAGTTGATCAGGATTGGTTGGGGAGTAAGAACTTTGTGTCTTACATGTGATTGAAATCTTGGAAATGGAATGTTCTAGAATCACCTTTCAAAGCTTTTTAAAAATTCTTTTGCTTCCTGTCCTCCCTTTCCCATCCCTGGGAGGCAGGATGATAGGGTAGTCCAGGAACTGGGCATTGCGAGACTGGTTCTGATCCCTCCTATTATGGATGTGATCTTATTATCTGTCACTTAACATCTCCAATTCTCAGCTTTCTCATTGGTAAAACAAAGACTTCAAAGATTTTAGAATCTTAGCACTTCTAAATATGGTTGGCAAATATGAACTTTCATGCTGATTGGCTCTTGCATTAGTGAGTCTATGTTTGTAATGCTCAAACTCAAAGGCAGTGTTAAGAAAATGAATAATGTTAATGTCATAAGTATTTATATCTCCATGGCTTAGTCTATGGATAATTCCTGAATGTGAAACAATCCATCTACAAGTGCGCTCCTCCTCAATTTTCTTGAAGAAAAAATATTAAAGGATGACAAAAGGACTAAGTCTAATATTTTAGTTGTCAAAGGTAAAATATTGTACATTTTAATGGGAAGGGAGGCCAAAATGAGCAAAACAGAAAATTTTGGGTAATTGAAGCCTCTAATTCTTGTGTCTTGTTTAATAGTTACTAGCATTGATTAATTGCTTTCCACATATCAGATGCTGTTTTAGGAGCCTTCTCTGTATCAACTCATTCAGTAAAACAACTATAGGAGGTAGATTCTATCATAATCCCAATTTTGTGGGTATGGAAATTGAGGCACATAAAGGTTAATTAACTTGCCTACTAAGATTACTAACCAGGAAGTAACAGATCAGAGGTTTGAACTCAGAAAGGCTCGTTCCTAACAACTAAGTCATATTACATTTAGAACAATAGCTTTTACTTCTAGAATGCATTCATGTGTCAGAGTTTCTCTCACCTGCCTAAGAGCACTGTGAGTTTTATTCTTATTTCTATTTTCTAGATGGCTCAGAGAGTGTAAATAATTTATGCAGGGTCACCCAGTTTGCATGCAACAGTGCTTGGATGTGAACTAGGTCCTGACTTCAGAATATAGTATTCTCTCTCTAGATATTTGCATAGCACTTCACAGTTTACAGTACATTTCTACATTTGTTATGTTGTTAAATCCTCACAACAACCCTGTGAGGTAAACTGTGAAAAATCTGAATGCTGTGCTGGCCAGCTGTCGTTGGGTGATGCTAGCCACTGGAACAGATATACCCTGAAATCTCTGTCTTAGCATGTCTTCGTCAGTTCAGGATGTCATAACAAAATAGCAAAGACTGGGTGGCTTAAACAACAGGAATTTATTACTCACAGTTCTGGAGGCTGAAAGTCCAAGATCAGGGTGCCAGCAGGATTGGTTTCTGGTAAGGTCTCGCTCCCCACCTTATAGATCACTGCCTTCTTGCTGTGTGCTTACAAGGCATGTGTGCATGCAGAGAGAGACAGAGACAGAGGGAGAGAGAGGGAAAGATATCTCTCTTTCTCTTACTCTAGGGCCATGCTGAAGGCCTTACCCTGGTGTCCTAATCTAATTACTTCCAAAGGCTCCATCTCCTGATACCATCATGTTGAGAGTTAGGGCTTCAATGTATGGATTTTGGAAGGACACAAACATTCATTTCCTAACAACACAGTGGGAGTTTATTTCTTACTCATGTACAGTCCAGTTAGTAATGGAGGTGATGTAGTTTTGCTCCATGTAGTCATTCAGAGGCCCAGGCTGATGGAGATGCTGCCATCTTCATCCCATGGTTTCCAAAGGCACCCTGGACATCGACATGTGGATTCAAATGGGCAAAAGGAATGGCGGGTCACACAGGAAGTTTTGATGGGCCAGACCCAGAAGTGGCATCTGTCTCTTCCAACTACATTCCATTGGCCAGGACATTCCAAGAATTGGCGTTGGAAAATGTAGTCTAGCTGTGTGCTCAGGAATGAGGGGAAATGGGTTTGGTGAACAACTGCCAGAGTCCACTGCAACAGTTAATAAAAATGAAAAGATCAAACGTTATTGATTCTTGTTATATGCGAGGCACTCAATGATCTAGAAAATGTATAACCATTATCTCAATACATTCTCATAATAATCTTTGAGATAGGTGTGACTTCTTACAGTTGTAAGAATTCAGACATATTAAGAGAAATTAGGTGACTCACCCAAGGTTATACAGATTGATGGTAAATGGGAAGGTTTGAATTCAAACCCAGTCTTTCTGACTCTGGAGTTATTCTTCATAACTACTCAATAAGTTTCGTATCTTCCCATGGCAAATCAGGAAAGTGGGGTTCTAGTCCCATTTTGCTATTAATAGTACAACACAGGACTTGAGTTATTGGGCAGTTGAGAACACTGGGGAGAACAGATTATCTTTCTCCTCTTATCCAAGGCCCCAGGCATGAAGGTTCTGAGTGTAGTATGGAAGTTGACAGAACTACTTACTTTACCTCTTTTTTTTTTTTTTTTTGAGACAGTATCTTGCTCTGTCACCCAGGCTGGAGTTCAGTAGTGCAATCTTGGCTCACTGCAACCTCCGCCCTCTGGGCTCAAGTGATCCTCCTACCTCAGCCTCCCGAGTAGCTGGGACCACAGGTGTGTGCCACCATGCCTAGCTATGTTTTTGCATTTTTAGTAGAGATGAGGTTTCACCGTGTTGCTTAGGCTGATCTGAAACTCCTGAGCTCAAGCAGTCTGCTGGGATTACAGGCATGAGCTACTGTGCCTGGCCCACTTTACTTCTAATTAGCCAGCTTTTTCTAAATTCTACATCCCTATAAATTAAAACAGATGTAAAATGCCTCCCTTCCCCACACCCATTACTTTTGGCGCATTCTAGTTCCAGCTGCAGTTAGAAATGTTAGCAGGGACTCAGGTGCCTGCCTTTGCATTGACATTTAACACCGTGCTCTCAAACTCTAAAATGCCCGTGAATTACCTGGGATCTTATCAAAATGCAGATTCTGCTTCAGTAGGTCTGAGGTGGGGCCTGAGAGTCTGAGTTTCTAACAAGACAACAGGTAATGCCCACCCTGCTGGTCCATCAGCCACACTTTGCACAGCAAGAATCTGCTACTTGTATGACAAATAGAATCAGCCTGTTCATGCCTCTGTTTATTTTAGCACTTTGTTCCTATCTGTCATTCCTCTTACGTTGCACTGTAACTAATGGTATAAGTGTCTGTCTCCTCAACTAGACTCTGAGTTTCTTGAGGGCTGAGACCATTTATGCTTGACAATTTTATGTCTGGCTTAGTGCCTGATTCATAAGTTGCCAAATCCATGTGTTTTAAACAGATGACTAATGACTTCAAGTGCAGGTATAGTGAGAAGCCTCATGGAATCCTGGTCTTGAGGAACCATCAAGGGCATAGCATGTGTAGGGTGGTATGTGAAAACCGTGCTGGCTATCAGCAGTCACACAGGGCTTTCAATCCCCTTGGGTACTACACGGTTCACATGGCACTACAGTATGATGCAAGACCAAAGAATAGGGGAATACATAGGAAATTGTAGGGCTAACGTTAATTTGTTAGGGGTTGTGGGAAGAAGGGGCTTATGTACACAATCCATAGTGTATACAAAAGAAGTTAGGGGCTATGGGAAGAAGGACCTTCCAGTTTATAACTTTCCAATCAGCCAAGAGTGTCTAGTTACATTTTCTATTGGGCTATTTTCCTGTATGTACCAGGTTTTGAATCTGGAAGTACTTTTGAAGCCCAAGCTAAAAAAAATAAAACTAAAACATCCTTCCCAACAAATCCCTTTTTAAGTTTTAATTTTTCTATAGAAGAAGCCCTGTTTTCTCTAAGAAATCTGAATCTCTGAGGGCTGTAGCTGTCTGAAAACAGAATGGTGTCAGTCCACTTTGTAAAGGCATCCCTGACCACAGGCAGTGAGACTTTCAGGATATCTAAGGCTGATGGAAGCCCCCTTCTCCACTCTGACCAGTGACAAACCACTACTGGGACAAAGAGGGCATGGCCATCAAGTGCTAGAAGAGAGAGCTGGTTTCTATCAAAGTTCAAATGCACACAAGACCTATTTGTAGAGGGCGAGGTCTAGGGAGGAGGTCAGAATAGGTGAGGTGGAGGATATAGAGTTTCCACAGAGCTGTGGGTCTAAACCTTTTTGTGGGTTACCAACCCTCTCAAACATCTAATGGGACCTGTGGTACCTCTGCCCAGGGAGACACATACATGCAAAATTTTGCTGCCAGTTGCGATGGCTCATGCCTGTAATCCCAGCACTTTGAGAGGCCAAGGTGGACAGATCACCTGAGGTCAGGAGTTCGAGACAAGCCTGGCCAACATGGTGAAACCTCATCTCTACCAAAAAATACAAAAATTAGCTGGGCATGGTTGTGTGTGTCTGTAATCCCGGCCACTGGGGAGGCTGAGGCAGGAGAATCACTTGAACCCAGAGACAGAGGTTGCAGTTAGCTGAGATCGTGCCACTGCATTCCAGGCTGGAAAACAGAGCAAGACTCTGTCTCAAAAAAACCCCAAAAAGAACAATTTTGTATAAGATTTCAGTGAGTTCAGGGTGACCTTGAACCCTGGACTAGGAACCCCTGGAGTGAAGGGACGTGAAGACTAGGGTGTGCGTGGGATATGGCAGGATTTAGAGAGGTTTTATCTTTCTCTGTCATCTGACTCCAAGTGGAATTTCGCACAGGTAATAGTCCTGGACGTGGTTCTACTTTTTGTTATTTAGGCTGCTCGGAGGAAGCCCCTTGATTTCTTTTCAAACACTGGAACAATCTCCGAGACAATCAGAGATGTCAACAGCCTTGATAATTGTGCTGCATAGGTCACTGTGTTAG
This sequence comes from Homo sapiens, assembly GCF_000001405.40. Classification (NCBI taxonomy): domain Eukaryota; kingdom Metazoa; phylum Chordata; class Mammalia; order Primates; family Hominidae; genus Homo; species Homo sapiens. The sequence goes on from NC_000011.10 coordinate 33,492,697, forward strand.
TTCTGCTTCTTTAGCGAGATTAGATTTATTATTGTCCCAGGCATGGGTACAGTGTTTCCTATCAAAAGCTATCCCACACATTCTATTCATTATTCTGTCTGCCTGCAGTACTGTCATCAGATGCATATCAAATCATTCGGGTAGATCTCAGCGCTGTTTGGAGGAACTTTTTTTTCTGCTTTGTTAACATTAGTATTCGCAGTACTAATGTGGAGGGAGGAGGGGGAGTGATACAGCTTGTATTCGTGATCAGGAAAACACAGTGTTTTCCTTTAGTGTGATTCCATGCAGTTGTCATGATTTCTAATTTAAAGGTAGAAAAAACAGGATTCCTCGTTGTTTGACCTGCACCTCCACTTTATGATGGTGATGATGGAAGGTCTTGGTCTTTCCCTTGTGGCTTGGCTCAGTGCAGCAGTGGTGACTTTTCCATTTGAGCTGCAGCTGGGGTGATGCTGTGGTTTGAATGTGTCTCCCAAAAAGCATGCATTGGAAACTTAATCCCCAACATAACACTGTTGGGAGGAGGGGCTCCAACCCTCATGAATGGATTAATACCAATTATAAAAGGGCTTGAGGCTGAGAGTTGGATCTTTTGCTCTCTTGCCCCCTTCTTCCATCTTCTGCCATAGGATGATGCAGCACAAAGGCCCTCACCAGATGCTGGCACCTTGATCTTGGACTTCCCAGCCTCCAGATCTGTAAGAAATAAATGTCTTTTCTTTATAAACTACCCACTCTGTGGACTGAGACAGATGATGAGCTTGACTGCACATTTATGCTGTGCTGGGGGCATCTTACATCTCTGTCTCCCTGAGTCCCGGTCTGTTGAAGAGGATGATCTTGCACACAACATTCCTGAGTCATGTGGAGTGTTTCCTATAGGGGAGAAAAGGACGTGCATTTGTGTATCAACTAAATTGTTGCTTTTATATGTAGAAATAATGATGGAGAATTGTCATTTTAGTTGTCTGACATCTGTTTTCCCTCCTAAGAGCACGTCATTCTCCTTTTGGGGAACTACCTCTTCCCTAGTGCCACAGTTCCGAAGTTGGGTAAGGCTGGTAACCAAGTGCCCTGTCCTTCCCTAGCCAAGGGGCAGACTTGGGAATCAAACTAAGCTGATAGTCCCATCACTCCCCTGGAATTTTAGCTTGATCATTGTGACCCAGGGACTGAGGATGATTGGAGTGCAGTCATTGTTAACAGCAGATACCCAGTGACAGCAGTCCTATCCCAGGGCAATTAAACCAGAATCTTAGAGGATGGGGTCAAGACATCAATCTTCTTTAAAAGCTTTAAAATCTCCCTTGGTGATTCCAGTGTGCAAGAAGGGTAGGACCACTGCCAGAGAGGCTGCTTCTAGAACCTCCAGAACTGCCTTGGTTTCCATGCCTAATTTGCCATCCTTCTTGTTGATTCTATGGGTTCCTAAAAGCCTTCCTTGAAATGCTCAGATTACTGAAGTTTATCACTGTTGATTTTGTTTTTTGTGACACATGACCCTAATATTGAAATGAAAAGCAATTATATAGATATGTTTTACTCTGAACCCAATGCAAGAAAACCAAAACTTAATGGATTTGACAGCTTAAAGCCAACAAATATGCTTCCATTCCTAATGGAAAAGCCAAATCCACTCATGGAAGGGGTAAGCCCATTATACCACCAACACAGAGTGGGGATTTGCATGGTGTTAGGAAAAATTTTTCAGAATCCCTGGAAGGCTTAAGGAAAAGGACTGTCTAAGTACCAACATATTCGTTTTTCTTCTCTAGACCTGCTAGAGATTACTTAACATGTAGCCAGATAGCTCCTTACTGGCAGCAAATGTATAAATCAGGGACTTTGCAGATCCTCTTCAAAGAAGGTTGGCAACAGGAGGACTTTCTGGACCTTTAAAGAGTTTCCAAGTGCCTTAGATTTTCCAGTTGGCATCACAGGAGAGGTAATTGCATTTTAGAGAATGAGGGTGCTAAGTGGCCAGTGAAATGGAAATTTTTCCAAAAGCCAGATTTCATTTTGATTGTGTTGCAAATCCGGAAAAGAGCCACTTTGGCTCGATGCTGCTTCCCAGGTGCATGGCTGAATTTCAGGCTCTGAACAGAGGTGCAGAGGTGTCTCATACAGCTTTTGTGTGAGAAGAACGATTTGTCTTTTGGTGGTCCATGCTATGATTGATTTATTTACATTCGTGGTCACATCAGTCGTAGTCAAATATTGAAGCAGAGTGATCTTGATAGGAGAGAAATGCGTTCTTTGTTAAGTGCTAAGACAGGAGAAGTATACCTTGTTGTAAACAAGATTCACACACGTCTAGGCCTTGGGAATTGTCAAGTGCCTTAGGCCACTTTCAGAGATCAGAAGTTAGAATGGCATTTGCTACTTTATTATTATTATTATTATTTTAATGTTTGTATTTTTTTATTTTTATTTATTATTATTATACTTTAAGTTTTAGGGTACATGTCCACAATGTGCAGGTTAGTTACATATGTATACATGTGCCATGCTGGTGCGCTGCACCCACTAACTCGTCATCTAGCATTAGATATATCTCCCAATGCTATCCCTCCCCCATCCCCCCACCCCACAACAGTCCCCAGAGTGTGATGTTCCCCTTCCTGTGTCCATGCGTTCTCATTGTTCAATTCCCACCTATGAGTGAGAATATGCGGTGTTTGGTTTTTTGTTCTTGCAATAGTTTACTGAGAATGATGATTTCCAATTTCATCCATGTCCCTACAAAGGACATGAACTCATCATTTTTTATGGCTGCATAGTATTCCATGGCGTATATGTGCCACATTTTCTTAATCCAGTCTATCATTGTTGGACATTTGGGTTGGTTCCAAGTCTTTGCTATTGTGAATAATGCCGCAATAAGCATATGCGTGCATGTGTCTTTATAGCAGCATGATTTATAGTCCTTTGGGTATATACCCAGCAATGGGATGGCTGGGTCAAATGGTATTTCTAGTTCTAGATCCCTGAGGAATCGCCACACCGACTTCCACAATGGTTGAACTAGTTTACAGTCCCACCAACAGTGTAAAAGTGTTCCTGTTTCTCCACATCCTCTCCAGCACCTGTTGTTTCCTGACTTTTTAATGATTGCCATTCTAACTGGTGTGAGATGGTATCTCATTGTGGTTTTGATTTGCATTTCTCTAATGGCCAGTGATGGTGAGCATTTTTTCATGTGTTTTTTGGCTGCATAAATGTCTTCTTTTGAGAAGTGTCTGTTCATGTCCTTCGCCCACTTTTATTATTATTGTCATTTTGAGATGGAGTCTTGCTCTGTCGCCCAGGCTGGAGTGCAGAGGTGAGATCTCTGCTCACTGCAACCTCTGCCTCCTGGGTTCAAGCAGTTATCCCTGCCTCAGCCTCCCGAGTAGCTGGGATTACAGGCTCCTGCCACTACACCTGGCTAATTTTTGTATTTTTAGTAGAGATGGGGTTTTGCCATGTTGGGCAGGCTGGTCTTGAACTCCTGACCTCAGGTGATCCACCTGCCTCGGCCTCCCAAAGTGCTGGATGACAGGTGTGAGCCACCATGCCCAGCCACCACTTAAGAATGCCAGATCTCTCTTCACCCACAGGCAAACAACCCTTAGAGTCACAGGACTTCCTGATAATATCTATGAAGGTAGGGGCTTAGGACCCCAGGATTTCTGGGTGCGAAGTCACTGGAGGGGTCGTCAGCAGCTGCTATTCATACAGTGCCGGCATCTCTTTTGCAATATGCTTGCTGGTCTAGTGCACATCTTGGCTGAAATGCCCAGAGCGCAGCTCTTGAATTCTACCCCCAGACATGTTCTTCCCATTTCAGTGTGGATGGCTTCCAACTCTATCCCCTTGTCAGCATTTCCACTACCACTCTTCATGCTCAATCATGGTAAACCTTGGCAGACCACTGTAAGGCTTCCCAACAACTTGTCTTGCTTCCACTCTTGACTTCAACAACAACCCGCTCCCACCCCACTGCCCAGCTGCCCAGCACTGCAATTTCTGCTCCACAGTACAGCCAGAGTATCTTTTAAATATGCTCCTCAGATTGTGTAGCACTGCCTCTAAAAGCTTTCCATCTCAATAAAATAAAACCCAAGCTCCTATGGTGACCATAAGACCCTGTGATCTAACTCCTTCTGCCTCCTTTCTAATCTTACTTTGTATAATTCTTCCCTTTGCAAATCATGTTCCAGCCACAGTAACTTTCTTTTGGTTTCTTAAACACACCAGCCTCCTTTCAACCTCATTTCTACCCCCACAAACCCTTGCAACTGGTATTCTTTCTGCCTAGAATCTCTTCCTCAAATCTTCCCATAGCTACTACCCCTTACCACTCACACGGTAGCTCCAATGTCACCTCTTCGAGAAGCCTTCCCTGGCCCCCCAATTTAAGGTAGCCTGGCACTCCCCAGCACCTCATCTTACTTTAGCTTCTTCATAGCACTTACCACTTTTGGGTCCTATTTAACTTTTTCCCCATTAGAACCTAAATGCTGCAAGAGCAGGAACTTAAAAAAAAATTTATTCTTGTGTCACCAGTATTTAAGATACTTTCCAGCACAAAGGGGATAATAATAGGCCTCAGTAAAACCTAATATGCAGCCTCAACATTCACCAACTAACTTAAGTTGCCATGCCCCAAAATGTGACCTTCTTAATAAGCAAGTGATATTCCTTTCTAGAAAACTAAAAAGTCATTATTGCAGCCCATAATAAAACTCGTTTGTCTTGGGGCCCCATTTAGGTATGATGTCCTTTTTGGAGAAATGTCACCCTAGCCCCCAAAATAATAAAAAAAGAATTAGAATCTTTACTGCAATTTGATGCAAAAACCCCAAAGCACCATAAAACTTCTTAAACATTGTCTTTATTTATTTGGTTCTTTTTTAGTATATCTGGAAGGATGGAGGGTTGCAACCTATTTATCAGTGCTTTCATTTGTTCCTATTTACATTACGAAAACATCTTGAAAATCAAAATATAAAAAAGAACACAACAAAACAAGGCAGTATTCTATCAGTAAAAACATTTTATATTTACTTAACCTTTCTTCAGAATTACCACTAAAGTTTGTGTTGAAGAAATATGTGTACACAAAATAAAAGTCCATTAAAACTTAAATATGCAATTAAAGTAACAGCTCTTGCACTACATGCCAGATCTTGGTGTTTATTTGAGCTACGGTGCCATTCTGATCTGGATTCAAATCCCAGTTCTGTCATTTGCTGTGAGCATGATCTTGGAAAACTTACTGGAGTTTCTCTGAACCTTATCTCCTCATCTATAAATACTAGTAGTGGCCGGGCATGGTGGCTCATGCCTGTAATACCAGCACTTTGGGAGCCTGAGGAGGGAAGATTGCTTGAGGCTAAGAGTTTGATACCAGCCTGGGCAGCATAGGGAGACCCAGTCTCTACAAAAAATAAAAATAAAAAAATTAGCTGGGCGTGGTGGCATGCACCTGTGGTCCCAGCTACCTAGGAGGCTAAGGTGGGAGGATTGCTTGAGCCCAGAAGGTCGAGGCCACCACCCATGGGGCTTGTCCCGGATTCACTCTGCCCTTCTTCCTCTTTCCAATTTTTTCTCTGAACCTGAACCCGATGGCTGCACTGAGAGGAGAATTTTCAGTGGTGGTTCCTGCTCTCATTGGAATACAGTGTGTGGTTTGCTTTATCCAGCTGGCAGGCCCCTTTATGCCCTTTTGATGTATCCCATTCCACAGGGCACAGGGGAGATGGCTAGTATATGCTTCACCATGTCTGGGATGGCTTAAACAGTGAGGACCAACTTGGATAGCTACATGGTTCCACTATGTTGCTAACTTAGCTTTCCTCATAGCATGGAGGTCTCAGGGTAGTTTGGCTTCTTACATGGCAGCCGACTTCATCCCAGCAAGAAAACAGAAGCTGCCAGGACTTTTAAAGCCTGGGATCAGATGTCCTAGAACATTTCTTCCATCACATTCTATTGTCAAAGCAATAACAAGGTCAGCCTAGATTCAAAGGGGGTGAAGGAGACTGCACATCTTGATGAAGTGTATGTATACAGGGAAGGGAGGAATTGTTGGCAGTCTTCTTTGGTGGTGATCTACCATAGTGAGGAATCACCCATTTTCTTCCTGCAGAGGGGCGAGGAAAAGGAACAGTGAATTCCCTGCAAGATCATTGCTCTGGTCCCTAGATTTCTTCTTACGTTAGCCAGTGATGGTGATGGGGTGGGAGAACTGAATCTCCACCCTGATGACTCTCAAAGAGCCCTGTGAGGAAGTGCAGGTTGTCGAACCAAAGCTGGTAGCTCTTTGAAATTAAACATGAATATGTAGAGCCTTTTGTGCTCAGTTTTTTTTTTTCTGAACCATTGCACTGAACAATTAGAATACAAATCCCACTTGACATTCTGCTGCATAGAAAAGGTCCTCCTTCCTCTTTCCCATTTCAGTTTCTTGGTTGTTTTCTTCATCCATCTTATATCAGCAAGTTAACCTCTGTGTCCAAACTCAGGAACTGAGTAGATTCAGTTACTTATCAAGTAAATCGCTACCATCTGATCTTTGATTACTCTAAAGAACTTTGGTTAATCTTTTGAAGCTCAGAGAGCCCTGAATGCGTGAGGTGGCATCCTTCACTAACTAGACTTGTGTACAAACTCTCATAGGTTTAAGTAGTGAGGGTTGCTTATAGTTTATTTATTGGGGTATTTTGGGGAGGGGGATTTGTGTTCTCACACTAGAATGTAAGCTTCTTTGAAAGTAGGGTATGTATCTGTCCCAGTCCTATGGTTTAGCACAGTTCTTGGCACAGAATAGGTGTTCAATATTAGTTGTTGATTGAGTGGGTGAATAGAATGGTATATGCAGAGGCTCACTGTTCCCTGAAGCCAGAGTGAACACCCCCATCTCTCCGTCTGGGTTTTGTGTAGTTGGTTTTTGGATCAACTTGTAGGACCTTGGAATTATCTCACTTCCACGTCCCCTTCTTAGATCCAGCCCATCATTTCATCACATTGTAATCGTTTTGGGTTGTACCCAAGCCATTAGATACTCTCTGACCTTCCTCAGAACCATTTATTTGATAAATGTGCATTTATGGAGCACTTACTATGTGACAGCCCTATGGTAGTGATAGTGGGTAGAGTGAGAAAGAAATGGAAAACATGGTCCTGGCCATTAGATAAGTTCTTCAAGGCTTTTGATGTATCTGATTTTTTTGGTTTGGCTTTCAAGGCTCTCTGGAGTTTGGCTCTTGCTCTTCCTCATCCACATATCCAACTCCCTGCATCCTACCCTTCTTCTTTCACTGATACCAGGGTAGCCTTCTCACTGTCTCAGATATTTGGCAATTAATTCTCACCTTAGTGTTCTGTTGCCTTCTACCTCTCACTCAACCTGCAGTAAGCAGTTATTATCCTAATTTTACAATAAAAATTTTGAGATTTCTTATAAAGGAGAATTTAGACTGGCTTTTTCAGGGTGTTAGGAAATACTAGCTTGATTTTATACGTTAAAAAAGAGGCTTAGAGAGAGGTTAAGTAACTGTTTCAAGATCGAGTCAGGATTTGAATCTAGGACTTTCTGGCTCTAAATCCAGTGCTGTTGTAGTACTGATATGAGAATTAAATGAGATGAAGTGTATATAAAGACTCTCAAAAAGTGCCTGGCACATACGGGCACTCAGAAGTATTAGTTTCCTTATAGAGAAGTCAAGTTCATTCAGCATTAATAAAGCAAGCAAGCCAAAAAACCAACTTATGAAATATTCTTCATTAAAACTCAAGTCATAGCAAAATACAGGAATTGCTGTGGAGTCTTTCTTAATCTGAACAACTGCATTCCTCATAGTTTGAGTCATAAAGTGATGATAGAAGGAATAAGTTCTAGGATTCAGTAGTACAGTAGGGAAATTATAGTTAACAGTAGTTTATTATATATTTCAAAATAACTGGAAAAGATTTGGAATGGTCCCAACACAAAGAAAAAAATAAATGTTTAAAATTATGGATATTCCAATCACCCTGATTTGATCACTACATATTGTATACAGGTATCAAAATTCACTTGTACCCCCAAAATATATACAAATGTTGTATATGAATAAAAGAGAAAAGAAATGTAGGCAACACCTTTTCATTAGTTTATTATAAATATAATATATGAAATACTTTTTACACAAATATTACCATGTTAAAATGCTCAGTAGATAGAGGTTTTGTTACTGTTATACCAATTGCATTGTGTTTAGTTTGTGATCTTATTAAAAGTCATAATTTTGCTAGTAAGTAGAGACAAATTTCCAAAAAAAAACCAAAGACATACTCCTCCAATCCACTTATTGCTGTCCGTGGTGCTGAAACATCACTGCCCATCTTCTTCCAGGATTATGATCTAAATGTCAGGATAAGGAGTGTTAACAAAGAAGAGAGACCAGAGACTAGGGCAAAGGCGACTGAAGCTATTGGAAAGGCCTATTTGCCTACAGAAATTTCCAGGGAGAAAAGAAGACAGACCTTTGTTTGCTATTCTTTTCAAATACAGACATCCTTTGTCATTCAAAATTAGAAATCAAATGGCTACAAATACATTTTAAGATCAATCCCTTGTTCTCCAAACCTTTCTTGCTGGTGCTGTCAAAAAATTGGGAATTAAGCAGATTTAGATAACATATCTCTCACTGTCCAAAGTTGTTATTCAGTCTCAGAAATGGAAATAATTTGGATAATGAAGGATAGTTATCATTGCAGTTCATTTATTCTAGTACTATTTGTTGAGTCTTCTATATTCCAGGAACTGTATTTGGTAATCAGACATAGAGTGGTGAACAAGAAGGAGAAGGTAACTGTTGTCATGGGGATAATATTTTTGTGGGAGAAGACTGAATGAAGATAAATAAATGTAAATACTTTGAGATACTTAGTACTATGAAGAAAATAAACAGCAATTACCAAGAAAGATAATTATCTTTTTTTCTGAGAATTGTATATGTGGAGAATAGTGTAGATGGTTAATAATAATAATAATAACTAATATTTACTTAGTGCTATGTGTTGCCAGGCACTACTCTGAGTATCTTACCTTTATTGACTCATTTAATTACAACTCCAAGGTAGCTACAATTATCCCCATTTTATAGATGAGACAGCTGAGGCACAGGAAGGTTAGGTTCTGCCCAAGGTCGTTGGTAAGTCAGTGGTAGAGCTGAGATTTGAGCCCAGAGATTCTGGCCTCAGAGCTTATCTCAGAATCTGAGATGCCCAGAAGCCAGTGGTGAGGGAGAGAGGAAGATGATATGGGAGGAAAGAATGAGGGAAGCAAATTCTCCAAGCACACACAGAGAGATGGAATTCAGAAACTTAGGAGAGAGGGGACTTTCGAGGGAGTTCATGCAGAACTTTGCATTTTGCTTTTGCAGAGGTTAGCCTTCTGGCCTTCATGAATCAATCTTCATTTTCCCCTCTTGTTACACCAGTGATTCTGTTGCAGAGGCCTGATTCCTAATGAGATTCTGTTCCACTAGCTTCTGGGTAGAGCTACATCGCATCACTCATGAGAAGTCAGCTTTAATCGGGGATTTTTATGTTGCTACCTTCAGGCTTGGAGAGGAACTTGAAAGACAGGGAGAGAGACCGAATGCCAGTTTGGTTTATGGGAAGTATTGCACCGAAAGCTTTTAACACCTCTCTAGCTTATCTATTTTTCCTCTGTGGAAAAGAAACGTGGTGATATTTGAACTGGCTTCTCCCTAATCTGTTCTCAGGCACACTTGCTTTGCGGTCTTCTTCAGTTTCTCAAGTTGAGTTGACCATGGAGCTTATTTCATTGGGTGCCATTTGTCCTGGAGTTTCAGTGTTTTATTTAAAATATCAAACACAAGATGACATTTAATGGGAAGACTGATATCTCCCACTTTAAGTGTTACAGAAGCCTAATAAACAAATGCCAAATACAGGTATATCAAAGAAATTGTTATCTTTATTACCAAAATATGCTTCATGGAGTATAGTGTGGTTTCATGGAAAGAGAATGAGCTTCTAAGTCAGTGAGACCTGGGTCCAGACCTCAGATCCACCACTTGTGAACTGTGTGACCTTGAGAAAGTAACATAATCTTAGAGCTTTTGCCACCTTGTTTCTTAAAATGGAGATAAAACGTAACCTTGTACAGTTGTCTGTCAAGGTCAGATGAGATTGTAAACAGATAAAATTCCTAGCACAGTGGCTACCAATGGTAAATACTAGTCAGTCTCTTCTTTTTTAACGCAAACTTTATATGAAGTATAACATACGTAATAGAAAAATGCACACACTGTAAGTATATAACTTGATTAATTTTCAAAAACAAGCACACCTGTGTAATTAGCACCTAGATCAAGAAACAGAACATTACTAGCTCACCTGAAGTCCCCCTCATGCCACCTTTTTCTGATCATTCAACTTACCATAGATATGTTTTAAACGTTTTGAGATTAATATAAATGGAATTATAGAGTATGTCCTCTTTTTTGTCTGGCTTCTCTTGTTCAGCATTATGTGTGTGAGTTTCATTAATTCATGTTGGCATGTGTATTTGTGATTCTTTCATCCGAATCATTGTATACTATTCTATTGTATCACAATGTATTAATTCATTCCTCTGGCAATGAGCATTTGAGTGGTTTCCTTTTTAGCTATTAAGAATTTTGCTGCTAATCATTATTCCAGTACATGTCTTTGGTGAACATGTGTAGTCATTTCTATTGTATATGTATGTGTTTCCATTGAGAATATTTCTAGAAGTGAATGGCTGGGTCATAGGATCTGCATATGTTCAAGTAGTTTTGCAAAGAGGCAAAGTAGTTCTCCTTCCTTTTCCCTTTACAAAGGAATTTACCTCAAAGTTCTTTTAAATAAGTGAGATAGTACATTTATCACATAAGTCTATTTAACAAAATCTAATTGATAACCTTTGGTGATATTCCCATTATATAAAGTGAAATATGTCTGGCTGTACTTGTAACTTTATTTCTGAGGGTTCCTTTACTTGGGAATTTCTCTCTCTTGACCACCAAAAAGTCATTTGACAACTGGATTCACTGTTTATTCCAGGCTTTTCTCACCTCACAATTCTGTGAATGTAACCCTTCAATTATTAACTTGTTCTCACTGAATCTTGGCTTGCTCTTCCAAAATGCAGCAGGAATGGTCAACAGGGTAGCCCCACTTTCATTATTCAGCTCTGATGACATTCACAAAGTTTTGCCTTCAAACTGCCTAAAGAATTGTTATATTAAAATCTTCCCCAGCTGGGCACAGTGGCTCATGCCTGTAGTCCCAGCACTGGGAGGCCGAGGCAGGTGGATCACTTGAGGTCAGGAGTTTGAGACCAGCCTGGCCAAAATGGTGAAACCCCCATCTCTACTAAAAATACAAAAGTTAGCCAGGCGTGGTGGCACACACCTGTAATCCCAGCTACTCGGGAGGCTGAGGCAGGAGAATTGCTCGAACCGGGGAGGTGGAGGTTGCAGTGAGCTGAGATTGCGCTACTGCACTCCAGCCTGGGCGACAGAGCGAGACTCTGTCTTAAAAAAAAAAAATCTTAATCATGTAGTTTTTCTTCTGATGTAAGAACTTTATTTCTTATCTTTATCATCATCACTTATTGTTTGCCTACTGTGGACAGAGTAAATCACTTTTACATGCATTATTTTATTTAATTTTTATAGCAAACCAATCAAATAGGTATCATTGCAGATTTCCCTTCCCTTCCCTTCCCTTCCCTTCCCTTTCCCTTTCTCTTTCCTTTTTTTGAGACAGAGTCCCTCTCTGTTGCCCAGGCTGGAGCGTAGTGAGGTGATCTTGGCTCATTGCAACCTCTGCCTCCCAGGCTTAAGCGATTCTCATGCCTCAGCCTCCCAAATAGCTGGGACTACAGGTGTGTGCCACCACACCCAGCTAATTTTTGTATCTTTAGTAGAGATGGGGTTTCACCATGTTGGCCAGGCTGGTCTCAAACTCCTGACCTCAAGTGATCCACCTGCCTTGGTCCCCCAAAGTGCTAGGATTACAGGTGTGAGCCACTGTGCCCGGCCACAGATTTTCTTTCTTTTAGACAGGGTCTTTCTCTGTTACCTATGCTGGAGTGCAGTGGTGCAATTATGGCTCACTGCAGCCTCAACCTCCCGGGCTCAAGCAATCTTCCTGCCTCAGTCTCCCCAGTAGCTGAGACTACAGGCATGCACTGCCACACCTGGCAACTTTTTGTATTTTTTGTAGAGACAGGGTTTTGCCATGTTGCCCAAGCTGGTCTCAAACTCCTGGCTCAAGCCATCCGCCTGCCTCAGCCTCCTAAATTGCTGGGATTACAGGCGTGAGCCACCACACCTGGCCGATTGTTGCAGATTTTTCAAACCAAGGTGTAGACAAGTTAAGTTGCCCAAAATCACATAGCTTGTAAGGTTCTAACAATAGCACTCTGAAGTCAGAGCTGTTTCCTTCTGTCATACATCCTCACATCTCTGTATCCTCCTGCTCGCCTCAGAAGAATTTCCAAAGAGCTAAACAACCCAGACTCTCTGAAGGGAATCTTAACATGTGAGTGTTCCAGTCACTCAGGTTCATTAGTTGGTTGTCAGGAGAATCTCCAGTGAATGCCTCTTATCTGTGCTTTTAGTCAATGATGATTGAAAACTTTGCAGTAGTAAGCTCCTTGTTTCTCATCTCTCCTTGCCAACCAGCTCAACATTCTGCTGCCAAGACAACGTTTCTCTTCTATCCCTATCACATGATGCCCCCGTGCTTGATTGACAGTGGATTCCAAATTAATTCTAATTGTTTTGTGTGTTAGAAATGCAGGTTATTCTCCACTCCTGCCCTGGCCTCTCCCCATTTCCCTCTTACTATCTTCTGTTCCCACTCTCGTCAAAGTGAGTCTTCACTTATATCTGTTCATTCCCCTGTTGTTTCTGGTCTGAGCAAAGCAATGGGACAGTTTCTTTCTTTCACCATCTGTGCTCTCTGGGAGGTTAATGTAGCAATATTTGTAACAATTAGTAAAAAGGAGTCTTCCCTTTGATCCTTCGCACCTGTAGCTACAGTTCCCAGTTTGCTTTTTTATGGCCAGATTTTTGGCACCTGGGAGTATGATTCCAGGACTTCAAAATATTTCAGTAGCAAAGTGAAAGATTCTAATGTTATACGATAATAATCGATTATATTTATTGAGTACTCACCATGTGCTAAGCTAATTACCATAATTACTCAGGGTAAATTATGTATATCATATGGTATCTTATTTTCATCAATACCATAATCTTGTGAGTTGTCATTATCCCCATTTTACAGATGAGGAAATTGAGTCAGAGAGAAGTTAAGAAATTTACCCATGGTTGTCAGCTTAAAAGTGGCAGAGCCAGGATTTGAACCCAGGCAGTCTAACTCTAATAACTGTGTTTACTTGTTATGCTGACTTACCCAATGGTAGATACCTTAGGTTCTGGAAAGAGCTCTGCACCTGAAGTTAGGAAACTGGAGTGGGCCCTGGCTCTGCCCTTTATCAGTTGGCCTTTTAATGGGGAGGGGATGCCCAGTTTCCTGAGTATTGTCTTCCTCATTGCTCTCCTTGAGATGCAGTTAGTCTAAAGCTGATTCAAAGCACATGCTGGGGCTGCAAGGCGCTCGAGTTAGAAAACCATCTGATATTCTGTAGTACTGATGGTTTGTTTCATCACCATTTCTGCTATATCCAAACTATAAAAACGCCCAGGTGGGCCAGGTGCGGTGGCTCACACCTGTAATATCAGCACTTTGGGAGGTTGAGGCAGGAGGATTTCTTGAGTCCAGGAGTTCTAGACCAGCCTGGGCAACATAGCGAGACCCTACAACAAATTTTTTTAAATGAACTGGGCATGGTGGCATTTAGTCCTAGCTACTTGGGAGGCTGAGGTGGGAGGATCCCTTGAGTACAGGAATTCAAGTCTGCAGTGAGCTATGAGTGCATCACTGCACTCTAGCCCGGGTGACAGAATAACACCTTGCTAAAAAAAAAAAAAAAATTGAACAACAACAACAAAAAACATTCAGATGAAAGCCCATTGGAAGAACATAAAAATATTTGAAAAATTCCAAAATCAGGCTTTACTTGATATTTGGGTTCTACTTTTATAAATCTGTATTAAAAAACAGATTCAATGTCACAGTTCAGTTTGTCATGGAAGCCCCACCTCCCACCAAAACCAGGGCCTAGGTTAGTGGATGGGCCAAGGAGGGCATGGTGCTTAGGAAGAGTCCCAGGTTTGAGGCTCTTTGGCAGGGATGGGGATCAGCCCTGTTCAGTTTTGTGTACCAAACTCCTGAGCCACTCAGTCCAGGGAAAATACCAAATTGCTGGTAACCTAAATGGGAACCAGCAAGGTGTAGCAGAAGGAACATAGGGAGATCTGGGTTTTATTGAATCGTGACTCCCTAAAATACCACCAAATCCCTTGCTGCTAAGGCAAGGCCGAGTTTATTGCTTGCTGAGGTCAGAGTCAGCTTTGCCTTGATGGAGTCTTAATGTCTCAGAGGGTATAGAGTAAAATTGGGATATTTATGAGGTTTTGGGGAGTCTTCATGAGGATGGGGTGGAGCATGATATAAAAGCTTAAGATTAGTGGATACAGCAAAGCCAGAGTTTTGCAGAGACTTGGTTTGATGCTATATATTGAAAAACTGAGCAGTTGTAAATAGGTTTTTGAGAAGTTCTTGAAACAAATAATAACATTTTTGCAGCTTTGATCTTTCTGGCAAAGAGTTTCCTGAGGAAGAGCAAAGTCATGTTGATGACGACAATGGAATTGGAAAGTCCTGGCAGGGAAGTCAGCTGAAGAGTCATTTTAGCATAGACAGTAAGCTGTCTGGATACAGGCCGTTTTTGGTTCTCAGTCTGACCCCTGGCAGTAGCTTGCCAACTGTGTAACCAAGTCCTTGTTTGTGAAATAGAGATACTCCTCCCTACCTGACAAGGTATTTTTGAGCATTGAGTCATATGATATGTATACAGTACCCCGAACAGAGTAAGTACTCAACTATTAGTTCCTGTTCTTTATATGCTATCTCAAACCAAGGCTCATTACAAGCAAAATTGTATTATATTGATATATGACTCTGTTAGGGTTCGATTGCAGACAATTGAATTCACTCTAGCTAGTTTATGCTGAAATGGGATTTATTATACGTGTTAGTACTACATTTGCTTACTGACTCCATGGGAGGGCTGAAGAACCAATACTAAGTTGAACTTTCAGGAATAACTGTCAAAAACTATCTTGAAGGACTGGGCTGCCAAGAGAGCTGCTGCCTCTGCATAATCATGAGGCTGATGCCCAAGAATAGTGCTGCTGTAGCCAGGGTCCCCAGCAGCAAAACAGGTCTGCTGCACTCTGCCTTTCTCTGCACAGGACTTAGCTCTCAATCAAGATCTTGCGCAATGCATCTGCTCCAGGGAACCTAATTCCCACATAAAACCTCTGCTGCAAGGGCATCTGGGAAGTGTAGTTTTTGGTTATCCAGCCTCATCGTGCTAGAAGGGGGTTGGACTGGATGTTGAGCAAGCCAGTTGACATTATCCACCATAGCTGCTACTAACATTTTACCATCCAGCCACGGTGGCTTCACAGATAAGGGACCTCAGGCACTGGCCTCTTCTCTTTCCCCTTCCTTGTCATTTTACTGCCTGCTGGACTGTTAGCCTTAATGGGAGGAGAGGCAACTAGAGGAGCACAAATAAACTGCTCTTCTTTGCTCTTTACAGGCAAAAGAGGAAAGGTGAAAATGAATGGCTGCTGGTGTAATGTACAGAGCATTAGGGTAGAAAAATTACACCTGCGTGTGTGTACTTGGGTTCATTGTCCTTATTCTGCCTACCCCAGGCTTTGGGCAATGTACTTTTCCCCATGACCCAAATATAGTTCACATCCACGTTCACCTCATCTTGTTCTCAGCCCCGTCTTCCTTGAGTCATTCATTAATCATGACACATCACACAGTTGCATGAGAAGTAGGTACATTTACTGTGCATCTGGACCACCCTCTTGAAAATCCCTTTGAGACCCATTCTCTCAATGAGGAATGGAAAGCATCATGTTTGAAGAGAGTGGAAGCCTGGGTTTTTGCTGTAGGCCAGCCCATTTCCTTGCTCTGTGATCTTCGGCAAGTCATTTAACCTTTTGCTTCAGTTTCTTTGTGTATAAAATGAGACGGCTGGGGCATATGGGCCTGATGGCTTCCTTTCACTTCTTTGGTTCTGTCGTCTCTTTGGGGGAGTTCAACTCTCAAATGACAGTTGAGAAGGTGACTTGTTTTCTGAAGTGAGACCAGTGGGTTTTGCCACCTTTTCTGTGACCTTGACATCCTAATAAAGATTTTCACTGGCTTGGTTTCTATCACTCTTCTAGCACTTTCTGCACTCACTGCATTGTATTTCTGATGTTTTGTTGGCACTTCTGTCTTCCCCACAGTCTTTAAAGACAGCTCTCCTTTCTTATCTTCTTAGCTTTAGACCTTACAGAAAAGGCCAAACCTTCCCTCCATGGTTTGCAAACAGAAAACACCAAAGACATTTCTAGACCACACTTCTGTTTTAATTTGTGCATTTTACCTCTAGAGAGCCTTGTACTTGCTCCCTGCTTATTCTCATTCCTTACTCCATTACCAAAAAACCCAGCTTAGTTTATTTCCAGTGGTAATGGGACCATATCACTTAACATTTGGGATGCTCAAGAGGTACAAAGTCAAGCAAGCTCATGCGTCATTACAAAGATGAACTATTGCCTTTGTTAGGCAGCAGAAAGGACCCACTCGGGAAGTGAAGGTTAATGTTCGGTTTCATAGTGAAGTATAAAAAGGTCAGAAGGAGCCATAAAATTTTCATAGTGTTTATGCTGCCTCTTCTTGCTTGGCCTGCACTCTCAATTCCATCTGAGGCAGGAGGTTTATGATTTAGAGCCTTAGCTGATCTGCATAATCCATTAAAATGTCACTTTTTTAATTGCAGAAGCTATTCCTCTGAAGCATACACCTGCCGCTGCTGGAATTTATAGCCAGGACATGGTGTGATTTGTGTTTGGAATGAATGTAGCCACCTCTGCCATCCCAGGCTGCCCTCAATAATGTCCCTCTCATCATCCCCAGAAACTGAAGGCGAGTTGAAATGACTCCTGCACCACAGTGTTCCGTGTTCTCCTCCTGGTGCCTTTAGGGACTCATTTCTCTCTGTCAGTAATTGCTCTGCTGGTGCCACATTTCATACAGGGGAGAATTCTACACACAGCATCAAATGAGAGTGGGTTTTGAGGGAGGCTTTGGAACTGGCTGCTTTTAGCACATTGGTGATCACATTGTGCCAAGAAGCTGCCAAGGGAGCCTTCATTAGTGTGTGGCATGGGACTGGCTTGGAGAGTTTAGAGCAGGGCAGGATCTCTCACTCTCTCTCTCATGTCTCTCTCTCTTTCATATATCTCTCTCAGTCTCTTGATCTCTTGATTTCTCTTTCTTTCGTGTCTTGTTCTGTCACCCAGACTGGAGTGCACTGCTGTGATCTCGGCTTACTGCAACCTCTACCTCCCGGGTTCAAGTGATTCTCCTGCCTCAGCCCCCCGAGTAGCTGGGACTACAGGCATGCACCACCACTCCCAGCTAATTTTTCGTACTTGTAGTAGAGATGGGGTTTCACCATGTTGGCCAGGCTGGTCTTGAACTCCTGACCTCAAGTGATCCACTCGTCTCGGCCTCCCAAAGTGCTATGATTACAGATGTGAGCCACTGTGCATGGCCAGGACAAGGTTTGTTTCTAAGACCCCAGGACTGTTTGTCTCTGAAGTAAACAGATGTGGAGGACACTAATGTTGAACTCAGGCATCTGAGATGCTCTCCAGAAAGCCCATGTCCTAAAACAGGGGCAGGTAGCCCTGAAAGCAAAGGCATAGTGATGCTGGCGAGGACGTGGATATAGCGAGAAGAGAAGTAGGCTGAGATACTTCTGCAAATCACCTAACATGTGAGGGTGTGAGGCTGTGACCTCCTGGGGAGTAAGAAGAGAGGTGAGGCAAGTGCAGAGGCCGCTCCAGTGGGTGTTCCTCAGAGTCACCACACGTGGCCAGCCCTGGAGAATCTGACCCAGAAGACCTGGGTGGTGACAGCCAGATGTGAAGCCAGCTTTGAGAACCACTGGGATGGAGAAAGCAAGTAGGAGCAGCATGGTGCTGCAGAAAGGGCACAGGCCCAGGAGTCATGCAGACTGAGTTCAAATCCCACTCAGGGAGGTCAGCATTGGAAATTGTTTCCTCTACATTCTTTCCAAGTGTGCCTTCCTAGGCCTCAGAAGCTGGAAGGCTAAACATTAGTTTTCCATGGCGTCAGTACAGCTAGAATGTGGGCTAGGCTCAGCCAATCAGATGTACTTCTGTGATGCCCAGAAACAGAGGCCAAGCTTCTGTAGCTGCTGTTTCTCCAGCCAAGCACAGGCACGGCTGTGTTGGCTTTTGTCTGCAGTATCCCAATTTTCTGCTGTGACTTTGGGTGAGATCCTGGAAGGCTTGTCTCTAGAGGCTGTTTCTTCAGGCCTCCTAATCAATTCCTTAAGCCATTTATTATCCCTAGTAAACCCTTCCCTGCTTATACTGGCTTCTCTGCAATGGAAGTGTGACCAATGCATGGGGATACTGATATCTTACTCAGGTGTTGTGGGAGGATTAAAAAGATAACATATGTCAAATATCTGTAAGTAACTGGCCCTCAGTAAAATTAATTCCTTTTCAGAAAGGAAGTGTATTTCCAATGGGAAGATGCTGGGAAAGGCCACTGGAGGAATCGGTGATGCAATGTTACCAAATACCTGTGTACAGTTCCATCAAACATTGAAATGCGTGGTTGCCCAGGTGAATCTGAGCTATCTGGTAAAATGCAGAGCCTTGGTGCCTAGGATGGATGACTATGAGGTCTAAGTCCCAAATATGCACTGACCTTAGGGTGAACTGTAGAGCTCATGGATGGAATTTCCTTGCACAGATGGCACATGTCAAGAACCTGGACTTTGGAGTCTGACTGCACAAGCTTAAGTGCCAAGTGTTACCCTCTCTAGCTTAGGTTAGTATCTCACATCTCTGGACTTTAGCTTTCCCACCTGTAAAATGGGGGTATTCAGAGGACCTACCTTTCAGCTGTAAGGACTGGACCAGGTGATGCATCTGAAAGGCTCAGCTCTGCCTAGCACATTATGAGTTTGTATACAATAAAGTTAGCTGCGATTAGGTTGAAAGTGATCATTTATCTAGAGCTTCCTTAGAGTAAGAAATTTACTTCTGGTCTTTTTCTACAAGCTAGTTAGCCGTTTCTCCTGGATAATCTTGATAAGGTACTACTGCAAGTCTATGACTATCTCAGAATATTCTAATTTTAGCACTCTAGAGGGTCACGTAAAATGTCAGTGGCCAGATTGTTGATTATGTGGGAGACATTTTTATTAAAAGATGGTCAGAGTTGTCTATTTAAAAATAGACAAGGTACAAAACATGGACATCCTTCTTAGAGTGATTGGAAGGTTAATAATGGACATAGAAAATAATTTTGCAGCAGTGGGTTCTGTTTTAAAAATAAACACAATTAGCTTTTTAATTGGCTGACATTTAAAAAAGTTTTTACCTTTTAATGCTGCCATTATGGCAGTAATTAATAAATACACAGTTTTAAAAAATGGTTACCATGTTCCAGGTAATTATTATTATTTTTTGAGACAGGGTCTCACTCTGTTGCCCAGACTGGAGTGCCGTGGTGCAATCTCGGCTCACAGGAACCTTGATCTCCCAGGCTCAAATGATCCTCCGACTTCAGCCTCTGGAGTAGCTGGGACTACAGGTACCTGCTACCACCCCCAGATAACTTTTATATTTTTTGTAGAGATGGGGTTTTCCATGTTGCCAGGCTGGTCTCCAACTCCTGGGCTCAAGTGATCCAACCTCCTCGGCTTCCTGAAGTGCTGAGATTACAGGCGTGAGCCATTGCGCCCGGCCCCTGCTCTAGGTAATATTCGAAATCCTTTTAGTGCATTATCTCCTTCAGTTCTCACATCAGTTACATGAACAAGGTAGTTCCTAGGCGACAACACTGAGGCACGGAGAAAAGCAATTTGCCCAAGGTTACACAGCAAATAAATCTGAAGCTTGGGTTTTAATCTGAGTCTGTCAGATTCTAAGGCTCATGTTCTTACCCACTGAGACCAAAGACAGAAAAGAAAGTGGAGAGAAAAATTGCACAGGGTTGAGAAATCTGAGAGCCTGTAACCTTTGGCGGTGATACCTTAGCTTGGGTCCTCTCCCTTGATGATGTGGTGTAATCAACCTCAAGATACAGGGACAGAGAACATCAGTGGTGCCTTCTCCCAGGCACTCTCCACACAGTGGTCAGGAGTGTCAGCTGGGAAGCTTTCCTTTTGGCCTGTGAGGTGTGTGGGACTGTACTAAACTGTTCACAAATAACCACAAAAATGGGGCAAAATGAAAATAAAACAAATATTTTTCCAGCTAAATAGAAGATTTGGTGGTAGAGAGTGGAGTCTTCTCATGGAGGAATGGGTGTTTTTCCTCACGGAGGTAGAGGTGGCGATGGTTTTTTAATCATACATCAGGTTGAGATGGTTGATGTTGTCTGCAGGGAGTCTCTGGTTGCTAGTGACACTCATATTAGCTGAATCAGAGTACATCGTGGCATGTAGATCCTGGAATCCCAGAAGAGAACGTGCCACTGGGCTTGGTGGGAGAACAACCATTCAGTCCAGGGTCAGCCACCTCTGTTTCTTTTCTTTCTGTTTCTTCTTCTCTCCCCTCCTTTTATTCCATCTCCCTCCAAATTTCCTCATTTTCACTTCTTTCTGATCCTCCCCTTTATGTGTATCTGAAGACTTTCTGTGGATCCATGCTGCAAGTGGCAGCTTGCAGCCCAGTGTCCCCTACACAACTAGCCGCAGCTCTCTGTGGCCCAGAGACAATCTGACGGCTGTGAGGCCAGAAGTGATTGGCTTCTCCTGGGGCAGACGTTCACTCTTGGGCCAGTTGGCCACAGGGGGTGGTAGCAAATGAACTTCATGTTTGCAGGATGGGGCATTTGTTGGAGGAGGGGCTGTGTGCTAGATAGATGTTCCTGGACACCAGTGGACAAAGTGATAACCATTTATTTGTCATCTACCCTCTATAAGACCCTCTACTGTCTGAAAATTAAAATGAATGCTCCACTGACTCTTCCTAGATTATTATGCTCCTACCCCAATTTAAGGTATATGGAGAAGCAGCTGTCTAAGGAAGTGAATGACAAAGGAAGATGATGCTACAGCTCCCTCTGCACCGGTTACAAGGTTACCTCAGAGAGAAAGGTTGAGTCTTGTTGCAGCATGAGCTATACAATCCTTCCTTCCTGTTCCAGATATCTCTTTGGAGGAATCTGGTCTACCTAAAGATTGACAACCTGGAAAAGCACCAGAGGCTTATCTCATTGAAGATTAAGCATTGAACATGGTTTTGGAGTAAACTACACGAAGAATAAACTCAACAAAACTAAGTAGTATTTTATGCAAAGTCATTGAAAAACACTGAAACAATGAAAAAATTTAATTTGGAGAATTCGTTTCCCAGAATTTGTTGGGGGAACCACGGACTGATCAACCCTTTGCAAACCACATTCTTTTTTGACGTCTACACTGACTCATGCTTGGTGACATCTCCACAGGGTTTTCCATCAACATTTTCATTTTCTGTGCCAGATTAGGAGGACTTCATTGAAAATCAGTTCCTACAAAAGTTCTTTGTCTTAAAATAGTTTATTTCTCCCGGCTTCATATCATTTTGCTCTCATACAAAGAGGCTACAGAGCAGTCTTTGCACAGGCTTTGCCTAAGCACTTCCTGGTGTCTTTATTTAATCACAGTTTTATGAACTCTTCATATACCAACCAGCCAATTTTGCAGCCTCAAAGTCATGCTCAGGAGACAGACACTGATTTTTCCTGTAGTCAGTTTTAAAGGCTTTACCATCTGGGATTTTTTAGTAACTTGTGAAAAGCAAATGGATGCCATGTTTTCAGGATTTTGCAGCCCAGACTCTAGGGTTGTTGTACATGAAATGCATGGTAATAATATAAACTTGTCTCACGTTTGCTTATGAAGCTAAGTCATCAGAGTAGATTCTAAGTAGCTGATATCTTGTTTAATTTGACTTATTGCCTTAATGCTTACTTGGTGCATAAAATTGATATTTTAGTGAAAAGTTTTGCATATATGAATTTGAGTGTTCTGAGAATATTAAACTCATAAGAGGCCACCATTCTCATCTCCCCCTCCCCCACAGCAATGTTGCTATGTCCATAGAAATTGGAAACCAAGTAGGATTCAGTTGACTTCACCAGGGGGTCGTATTTATTTGCAGTGAATAAAAGCCACCTGAGCTGTGGAACCCAGTGGTTTGGAGTACAGCTAAGTGCCTCCCCCACCCACCAAAATGTGGAAGCAGGGCAGCTAATATCTCTTTCTCTTCTTAAGATTACATGGTCTCTTCCCCCTACAGCTCCTGGACCTGTTCTGTTCTCTCTCTCTCCATACCAGTGTTCTCTGTTTTGGCATGTATGTGGGCCAGACATGGCTTCCTGTTTTATGTCACTTCCCTAGTCAAGCACCTAGTGTCTTCAGGCCCCAGTTTCAAATTCCTGGGGAAAAATCCAACTAGTTCAAGTTGGACGAGTTATCCATTTCTGGTCCAAGCATCTGTGGCCAGGAAGCCACAGTCATATGACCAGCAGTCTGCGCAGCTGGGGCTGTGAGAGCAGATGCTCAGCCATGGGGGAGATGACACAAGTAGGTTTCCCCACGTGGGTGGTGAGCAGGAAATCGTCAGCAAGGGAATCATGAGTATCTTTGATTCATCAGGTGTGGAAATGGTTACTTTGCATAGCAACTGCAGCGTGGGATACAAGTCTGTTTTCTGGCCCATCTCTGTCAATCCTGCTGATCTTTTCCTCTTTTTCATTTGGTTTCTCAATCAGTCTTTAACCTCCTCCCTTTGCTTCTCCTTGCTTCATTTTACCTCCTCTATCTCTGAGTCAGTGCTCCAGAAAAGTAACGTGATGCATCTGTTGGTAGCAAGAACACTATTAGAGGGAATCCTCTAGTTCTGGTGCTAGACCTTTGGCAAGTCACTCAAGCATTATTGGTCCTAGCTTCATCTGAAATTGAATGCAGTTGGACCAGATGCTAGAAGAAACCTCAGAGATCACCTTCCCCAGAGATGCTAAACATCTGTCCAAATTCATGCTGCCATTCTGTACTACAGCACCCAAGGCAGACATTGCTAATTGATCCCAGAACCCTTCCCTGCCAATCCAGGACTGTGCTTAGAATTCTTCATAACAGTCTAGGCAGCCACTACCAATCAGCTGGAGGTGATTCTTTTTTTTTTTTTTTTTTTTTTTTTTTTTTGAGACGGAGTCTCGCTCTGTCGCCCAGGCTGGAGTGCAGTGGCGCAATCTCGGCTCACTGCAAGCTCCGCCTCTCGGGTTCACGCCATTCTCCTGCCTCAGCCTCCCGAGTAGCTGGGACTACAGGCGCCCGCCACTACGCCCGGCTAATTTTTTGTATTTTTAGTAGAGACGGGGTTTCACCGTGTTAGCCAGGATGGTCTCGATCTCCTGACCTCGTGATCCGCCCGCCTCGGCCTCCCAAAGTGCTGGGATTACAGGCGTGAGCCACCGCGCCCGGCCTGGAGGTGATTCTTGAGATGTGATCAGCTATATCTGAGCGAGAAATCTGAGCAACCAAATTACCACAGCTATATCTGAGCAAGAAGTTGAGGCCCAGAAGTCTACCAACTTTTCTTACTCCTATCTTCCTTACAGGGATGGATATGTGAAGCCATTATTCCTAATTCTCTGAAGTTATGAGGGAAAAAATAAATTCCCTCCTCTGCCTTTTTCTTCCTAATTATTCAGTCTTAAAACAAACAAACAAACAAAAAACACCTGTTTTCTTTCTGACCAATCCAACCTTTAATTTCTCCTATGGCTGAAGAATTGGCAACTTTTTTTTTAGCAAAGGTATGGAATCAGCCACATTTGTCTAAGCTCCCCAGAATTAGACTGGCTCACTTTGCAACTGTGTGGTGGCAGGCAACAGTGAGAGTTATTTTACTTTTTGAAAATATGTTTTCTGTAGTTATATTTAGACTGAAGAAAGATCCTTGCATTCTCAGCTCTAATTATATTCAATGTGCCTAATTGCTATTACTCTCAAAGATGATATTGAGTGAGGTCGCATCTTCAATTCACGTTTCTCATTTATTTTTACAAATGACACAGCTTTGGAACATCTGCTCTGCCTATAGAACACTCATTTTTGCAGATGATGCAGCTGTAATGGCTGGTGGCAGAATTGTTTCCTCGATGACGATGCTAGGGTATGTCTCTCCCTTTCCGCCTTTCCTGCTAAGATGCTGTTTTTAAATTCACCTTCTGGAGTTCATTTCCCCAAGATAGATGGGTTCACACTTCTAAGGCAGCATATTTCTATTATTTCTGCTGAAGGGCTGCCTCCTGGAGTAGTTAACAATGGCAGCCACCCTGTGGCAGGTCTACCTTATGTAACGCCTCTGTAGCTGGGGGAGCTGTAGGTCTGGGAAGAAAGGAGACTAATGCAAACATAAAGATGAAGGGAAACTTGCCAAGATCATACCTAGGGTAATATCCATATCCTGAGTGCATATGAGCCTAGAGTTGGCTTTCTAGTAAAAAGAATCCTTGGTGTTGATAGAGAATGTGGCCATTATGCCTTATTCCCCCTTGGAAAGGGGTAGTGCCCTAAGCAAATGAGGAAGAGTTGGGTTCATATAGACTGAATTAAACTCCTTTATGTCATTATTATTAATGTTTAATTCCAATTTCAAAATGTTATAAGTTAATAAAAGCGAGGACATAAATGCTTCTATTTCTGGAATCAACCACCCATTTTTAGGAAATACAGAGGACAGAGGAACATGTTGAAATGAGTCATGAATGTGTATCACCACAGTCCAGACTGTGGGAAACTCTGCAGGTAAAAGGGCTCAGGCTCTTCTTCAGGAGCAAAAGGAGTGGAAGGGGAGAACTTAGAGATTAAGAAACTTAAAAGACATTGCAGGCAGGCGCGGTGGCTCACACCTGTAATCCTAGCACTTTGGGAGGCTGAAGTCGGTGGATCATGAGGCCAGGAGTTCAAGACCAGCCTGGCCAAGATGGTGAAACCCCATCTCTACTCAAAATACAAAAATTAGCCAGGTGTGGTGGTGGGCACCTGTAACCCCAGCTACTAGGGAGGCTGAGGCAGATAATTGCTTGAACCCAGGAGGCAGAGGTTGCAGTGAGCTGAGATTACACCATTGCACTCCAGCCTGAGCAACAGAGCAAGACTCTGTCTCAAAAAAAAAAAAAAAAAAAAAAAAAAAAGACATAGCAAAGGGAAAATTTTTTTCTTGGGCAAGATTAATCTATGTCTACAGTGGTAAAACTACTGAAAAAATTTCTTGTTTTAAAACATGCTAAATTAGCAAGTTCTTGATTGGATTTCAGCTTCTCATGCTACAATTGGGAAACTGAGGCTTAGATAAAGTGATTTGCTTTACATGTAAATGGGAGCATGTCGGGGAATTGCAAGCAGAATCCAGATCCCCTGGCCCATTGTGTGATGTTTTCCCTCTTTCCCTTGAGTATGATCCTGTACTATACATTAACTTTCTCTTTGAGTTCATTGAAATAGATAAAATCACAGCAGAGTCAACTACATATTGGAGACTACTTTGTGTTCATCTGTTCTTTTAATTGCTTTTCAAGGAAAGTTGGCTCTGGCTTTGTCCCTTGTATAGTGGCTGTAAACCTAAGAACTATGTCATACTGTGACTTTTTAATTCATAGAATAAAGTTACTATTTTGCTTTCTACTTGCTATGATATTATAAAGTCTGTTTTATTCTTTTGTGCTATTAAAATGTTCTAAAGTTGCCATTAAAGCTGTAAAATCTAACTTTGGTTATTAAATTTTATTTTCCCCTAATAGTTCTTCTGGCATTGATTTAAATTACAGGTTGAGTATTCCTTATCTGAAATGCTTGGGAATAGAAGTGTTTCAGGTTTCAGATATGTTTTGATTTGGGAATATTTACATTACACTTATCGAGTATCCCAAATCTGGAAATCTGAAATCCAAAATGCTCCATTGAGCATATCCTATGAGTATCACATTGACACTCAAAGACTTTTGGATTTTGGAGCATTTCAGATTTTGTATTTTTGGATTTTTGGATTTGGGATGCTCAACCTGTACTCATTTTCACATGTGTAGCACATTTTCTTGGGGAATCCAATCTTAAATAGACTGGATGTTTTGAACATGAGAACTGTCTAATGTAGGTTAGCATGAAAAATAACCAGTTAAATACTCAGAATTCTGAATAAAGATGTGTATCACTACCCTGCAAGTGATCTAGCCAACAGATTTACCCTACTGAAATTAATTTAGTGTTAAATTATTCAATATTTCAATCCATTTTTTTTGAGAGAGTAGATTTTAAGGAAGACTCTATAATAGAAATGTTGATTTCTATATGCTCCAGTGATATATATTTGTCATAACTTATTTTTATTTTTGAGAAGAGCCAGGATTTCAAGCTCAAATACAAGTAATTAGCAACTTAACCAATGTGCTACAAGAAGCATTTGATTTCTCTTGGTATTTGTAAGAAGTCAACAAAACATGTCACTATTTCACCAGCAAATGGCTGTAACAATTATTTACTGTGAAAATAATAGTGTTAACAATTACTTCAGGGTAGGAGATAGAATTGTTTGTTATTCATCTTGAGGGTAGGTAGTAGTTTATGTTTTTAACTTCAAGAAGCTGTGCATATATAATGATACTGAACAAGAAGGGTGTAAAATCACAAGCTATATAAAATTCTGACCTCAGAACAACTGTTCTTTCTTTAGAGGGGGGTACATCAGAGAAGGAGAGCATTTTCCATCATTTAAAAAGTCTTCATTTAGGCAGTTTGTCCTTGGCCATTCAGACAAGCCCCTCACAACCTTTAATGCCAGAATGTTCTGTGGAGGCTGCCACTCTGGTGCCCTCCTCACATTTCCTCTTTGCCTCCCCGACCCCAGCAGTAAGAGGTACGAAATATCCTTCTCTATGATACTTACCTATCAAAGGAAATATCGGGTCGCCATCTTTTTTTTTTTTTTTTAACAACTTTACTAAGGAATGACTGACATACAAAAAGTTGCAGATATTGAATGTGTATAACTTGATGTGTTTGGAAATAGGTATACCATGAAACCATCAAACCATCATCACTATCCATGCCCTGAACTTATCCACTATCTCCCAAAGTTTCTTCTCCCTTCCTTTTTTTTCCTTTTGTGGTAAGAGCACATAACATAAAGATCTAGCGAATTTTTAAGCATACAATACAGTGTTGTGAATCATGGGCCCTATGCTATACAGTAGATCTCCAGATCTTATTTATTTTGTATAACTGAAATATTGTATACCCTTTGACCAACACTTCCCCATTTCTCTCCCTCAACAGCCCCTAGTAACCACTATTCTACTCTCTGTTTCTGTGAGTTTGGCTATGTTAGATTGCACATATAAGTGAGCTTGTGCAATATTTGTCTTTCTGTGTCTGGCTTATTTCACTTAACATAATGCCTTCTTCAAAAAAAAAAAGGTAGTTCATTGATTTTCAGACTTGGAGCTCTATGAGCTCATGGACCAGTGAAATGAAAAATTTCAGAAGCTCAGTTTAGATTTACTAACTTCTCATTTGGTCAAGTAAGGGCATTAACAAAACAATAGCTACACATGCTGTCATTATTGTTTAGAAAACAAAGGAAATATTGACACTAAAATGGAGGATTATCCATTAGACCCAGAAAGGCAATTGGTGGACATACACCCCCCACCCCCAACACACACACACACACACACACACACACACACACACACACACACACACACACACACTCCCTCTCTCTCCCCCTCTCTCGTAATTGTTTTTTCTTGTTTTGTCTTGGTTGGGTGAAAACTTTGCATCAAGGATTGAAGTTTGAACTGGCATTCAGAAACCTTGCATTGAGTGTTTTGTTTTTAAAAAGTAACATCTCAGCCTGGTGCAGTGGCTCATGTCTGTAATCTCAGCATTTTGGGAGGCTGAGGCAGAAGGATTGCTTGAGGCCTAGAGTTCTAGACCAGCCTGGGCAACAGAGCAAGACCCAATATCTACAAAAAAAAAAGTACAAAATTCACTGGGCATGGTGGCACATGCCCGTAGCTCTAGCTACTCAGGAGGCTGAGGTGGGAGGATTGCTTGTAAAAGCCCATGACTTCCAGGCTGCAGTGAACTATGATCTCGCCACTGCACGCCAGCCCAGGAAACAGAGCAAGACCCCGTCTCTTAAAAAACGAAGCATCTCTAAAAGGTAAACTCTTCATATTTTCAAAAGAATATTAAACACCTTGGGGTAGGGACCTCATCTTACGTGCTGCTCTGTAGTGAGGCAGGATACAGTTGCGGTTAAGAATGTAGACTCTGGGGCCAGACAGCCTGAGTTAAAATCACAGCTCCACCACTTACTTACCGACTGTATGACTTTGGGTAAGGTTTTTAACTTTTCTGTGCCTGCATCTGCATCGGTAAAATGAGAACAAGAATTTGTCCCTTCCTAATAGCATTGTTGTGAGTCTTAAATGTGTTCACATTTGCAAACACTTAGAAAAATGCTGGACTGTAGGAAGTATTCAGGAAGTTTCATGTCTGGCATGTGGCAGGTACTCAGCAGGCTTATTGAATGAGTGTGGAAAGGGTAAGTTTCATGTATACAGTAAATACTTTGACTGTGGGTTCTTGTCTTTCTGGTAGTGGCAGACACACGTGGCATCTCCTCCCAGACTCTAGCAAATGATATATGTCTCTCTTAGGCCTCTCTTAGACAAGAAAGTTCTCTGGACTGGCTAAGCCACATGACGAAAGTACCAGCATTCTGGTTCTTTCTCTCTTTGTGGGCACCCCTAGTCCTGATCAGACATCTTGATACTCTGTTGCTAATCACAGATTGGTCTGAAGGAGAATGGAAGGATAAAGGAAAATCCCATACTGAAAAATCATGTCTAATGATATGGTTATTACTAGGTAAGCTGAGGCATTAGGAGATAGAAATAGAACTTTCGTTGATGGAGCAAATTTAAATTTAATGTAGATAGACCTTATTCTTTTATGTCAAATGAGAGACAGTGTAGCCTCAGTTTGTGAAACATCTAAATTATGGAATTTTTAAAATAAATGCTATTTTGATATGACTATATATATAAACACTAAAGGCAAGTAAACTATAAATGAAAATTATTTGCTATAAACATATTGTTATCTTTTTGAGTTTGGATGTTCTAAAGGGCTTGAAAATTATTACTTAAATATTTTCTTTTTTACAGTCTTAGAGGCAATCAGTTTAATCATTCATTCCTAATAAAGTTGGGCTGTAATTTGTTTTTATAAAAATCTGAGTTAACAAATCTTGAAATAGTGATATCATATTAATGGCGTTAGACTTCTGCAGTAAAACTTACATCTAATCAGTCATCGAATATGGAATTAAGAATTAATAATAGTATTCGTTATTAATATTGACAACATATTCTGCTTCTGTGGTCCCAAAATAGATACCTGCAGGTTTTTGGTGCCAAATGGTAAGAAGAACATCAGTACCCACGATATATCACACAGTCTTTTTCAGTAGACCACTTTTCTTGTGTGTTTCTGGTCATGGGAGAAAATGATCAAGTACTGATATTAACATCTTACCTAAATTAACTTAGTGCCCCAAGAAGGCATTAGAACCAATCAGTATAATAATAATTTATGCCTGTAATCCCAGCACTTTGGGAGGCTAAGGCAGGAGGATCACTTGAGGCCAGGAGTTTGAGACCAGCCTGGGTAACAGAGAGAGACCGTCTCTACAAAAACCTTATTTAAAAAATTAGTTGGGCCTGGTGGCGTATGTCTGTAGTCCTAGCTACCTGGGAGACTGAGGCAGGAGGATCTCTTGGTCCTAGGAGTTCAAGGCTGCAATGAGCTATGATTGCGCCACTAAATTCCAGCCTGGGTGACAAAGTGAGATTCTCTCTCTCAAAAAAAAAAAAATATGGTCTTTACATACATTTGTTATAGCATTTTACAGTTTTCTTGGTGCACATCCTTATGTTGACTCATGTGAGTGCATCAGTAGATGAGTTCATGAATAAGCCTGGTAAGATATAATCTGAAATATGACAAAAGCAGAATAATTTGTCAGCCATGGAATGACAAAGAGTGTGTTTTCTGATTCTACAATGGATTCTGTCTACCCATCAGTTCTTTGTTTTCTTCTCAGTGTCTGAAATTGCTAGGACAATGACTTTAACTCTGGAATTCCCTCAAAGTGTTCTTCAGAGCTGCAGTTCCTTGGGATATTAACAGGTATCACACAAAAAAGAAACAAGAAGAAAGAGTTCTGCAGTCAACTCATTTGGGGATTTTCCAAGTTAAATAAAACTTTCGTTTACCACAGGACTTTTCAAAGCCCTTAGTGTATGCGTATGCCCTGTGAATCTCCCATAAGAGATTTTCTAAACTGCTTTGAATAGAGAACCCCTTTCCCCCCTCATATCTATTTATTGGAACATATGTCTTGACATGATTATCTTTGCTTATTCTTAATTTTAGAGAATGTCAGGTTATCTGAATGCTCCTAATATACTAGAAGGATTATTTTCTTTTCAATGTAACAAAATTCTCTGTGAGATGCAAAATGAATGAGACATTTTCTGCCTATCATGTACCAATGTAGATGGTACAAGGCTAGGATTACACATCATAACCTTTGAGAAAACACTGAGTCCTGAGTTTGGCGTAGGATCTTACTACTGGGTCCTTAAATGCAGTGAAAAGTCTTACATTCGTTTGTGTGTATGTGCTTATGTTGACTGTTGTGGACTTGATAAAATTATTACGTATTAATTGACAATTTATGTGTTATTAAATAATTTATTAAATGTACACACATAATTTTTATATAATTGCACAGATGTGATCACAGGTTTCTGTTTTTTATGGCGGTCTTCCTCATGCCTCCTTCTACATTTTTGCTTGGCTGCATCATATTTATTTATGTACATATTTTGATCATTGTTTTATTTATTTAGTAAATCTTGATTGGATTTTGGTACTAACTCAGTACTGGTTTCATAAAATGAATTGGGGACATTTCTGTGTATTTTAAAGGCCTGAATTAGTTCAATAACATTGGAATTACCTATTTAAAAAAATAAGATAGAATTCAGCTGAATATATCTGATCCTCCTACCTTTTTCTATGGTAAGTGGCTCCTTTTTCCTATGTTAATCTGTCTGTTTAGGTTTTTCATTTCTGGATTGATTTTGATTATCGACATTATTCATTTCCTCTAGGGTTTCAAACTTTTTGCCAGAGTTGCAGGTGGAATTCGCTCATAATTATTTTATTTTCTTCTTTATCTGTAGTTGCCTCCTTTCTCATTCCTAATGTCTTACACTTCTGTTCACTCTATTTTTTTTTCTTAAACAGGCCTATGAAAGATTTACCTATTTTACTCTTTTAATTTTTCTTCCAAAAGACCCAAAGAGGTCTTTTGAACTTATTTATCCTTGCTGCTACTATTCTTTGTGTTATAATGCATTAGTTCCAGCTTTTATTTTTATTAGTTCATTTTTTGAGGCGAGAGGAATTTACTATTTCTAATTTTTATATATGAATAAAGAGTTTCTTCTAAAAAGTCTCTTTTAAAATTAAAACATTTCAGTCTATAAATTTTCCTCTAGGTATAGCTTTTACTGTTCCAACTGAGTGTTGGGAGAGTGTTAAAAATTCTTTGACTTAAAAAATATGTATAAAGGGTATACATAAATGCTATATATATTTATGTATCTGCATGTGTATGTCTCTACTTTTTCCTCCCAGCATTTCAGTTAGAGTTAGATTTGTGATAAATCTTAATGGGAAAGTGCTCATTTTGTGACCATGATGAATAAGTCATTTTCAAAACCTCATACTTGCTTGTAAAAATAAGCAGACTGGAGACTTTAGGGGAAAAATCTAATGCAGAAGCATAGTCCGTCTTATTAATGCCACTAAAGCCAGATGGATTGCCTAGGTACTCATTGGAGAATTAGTTAGAGAAAAGGGATTTATCATAAGAAATATGAACAACTTCCAGAGAAGACAGAAAAAGTTGACCAGATTTTTATAGGGGTGAAGAGGAAAATGGCAGATAGGAGACAGGACTAACATGCACCTCCCACGTGGATGGACAGAACAGTGTGTGGGGACTCAAACCATGAACTTGAGCTCCAAGAACCACTACAGGAACATACCAGGAAAACCGAAATAATTCATAGAGTCTTTGAAAG
Organism: Homo sapiens; assembly: GCF_000001405.40. NCBI lineage: Eukaryota > Metazoa > Chordata > Mammalia > Primates > Hominidae > Homo > Homo sapiens. The sequence continues at coordinate 33,525,196 of NC_000011.10, forward strand.
AAGTGGCTTGCCACTGCAGACTCTGTAAGACAGCCCAAAAACTGTGAGCTCCCAGAGTGTGAGAGGGGGAAAAGTTGGTCTCTGACACACATCCCCACTGGAGAACCTGAAAATACAGATCATGGGAGAAGGATTTAACCTTATCTAGAACTGAAACGGTTTTAAGGAGCTGAGAGAAGTATAAAAATAGAAGCAGCAGCAGGAAGAACCCTATAGGGTCTTCCTAGTCCCTAGCTTGAGCCCAGGGAAAGCATTCCTGGCCTTATCTCACAGGAGTCCTTGGGGAAGGCAGCCAGCAGAATTAGAGAGGAGCCACAGGTGATGGAAGCTTCTGGCTGAACTTTGTAATAATTTCGACCTAAGCATAAATTTTCCTGAGTAGAATCTGGTCGGGGTCGGGGGGTGGGGACAAATTGGAAGTGCATATATGAGTGCAGAAGTCACAGCCAAAGCTGCAGGCAGGCAGGGAGAGGTAAAGCCTGACAGCCCCACTTGCTTTCTTGGTGGAGAGGCTTGTTGTCTGGGGCAAGATTTCAGCTCTGCTCACCAGCTGCCTGGATGTATACTTGGTGCTGTTGGTGAGGCATGGTGGGAATGAGACTGGCTTTGCTGGCTGTGTGGGAGCTGGGTGAGGCCTGTCACTGCTGGCTTCCCCCTCTTCCCTGGAAACCTGTATGACACAGCAGAGGCAGCCATAATTCTCCTGGGAACATAACTCTATTGGCCTGAGAACCACCCGCACCGCTGCCTCCCCCACATTCCCCACAGTTGCTGCAGCAAGCCCTGCCCAAAGAGAGTCTGAGTTCAGACCCGCCTACCCCAGCCCCACCTGATGGTTTTTCTCTACCCACCCTGGTAGCCGAAGACATAAGGTCTTGGTAGCTCTATGGCCCCACCTATTGCCTGAGAAACCCAAGTAAGTACTTAACTTGGCCAACATAGGGCAAGCTTATATCCCCCTTCTACTACTGCAGCTTATGCTCTCTTGAAAAGTGCCACCTCCTGTCTGGAGGCCAACCAATTCAAGCCATTACAGCAACTCATAACAGAACAACCCTGCTCCAAAGAAGGAGAAAACAACAGCTAATTCTACCGCCTGCAACATCCTGGGTAACCAGAAGTCCTGAGTCTGTCCATGTGACAACTTCACTGCTAGCATAACCAGCATTTGAGGAAACCAGCACACTAAATGAAACTACAACCAAGGACTCCCACAGAGTCCACTTCACTCCCCTGCCACCTTTACCAGAGCAGGTACTGGTATCCATAGCTGGGAGACCTGAAGACGGATCACATCACAGGACTCTTTGCAGACATTCCCCAGCACCAGCCTGGAGTCTGGTAGCCCCGCTGGGTGGCTAGACCCAGAAGGGCAATAACAATCACTGCAGTCTGTCTCTCAGGAAGCTCCATCCCTAGGGGAATGGGGAGAGCACTACATCAAGGAATCACCCCATGGGACGAGAGCCCTTGAGTTCCAGATTTTTCCACTGAAACTGTCTACCCAAATAAGAAGGAACTATAAAAGTAATTCTGGTAATATGACAAGGTTCTATAACACCCTAAAAGACCACATTAGCTCTCCAGCAATGGATCCAAACCAATAAGAAATCTCTGAATTGCCACATAAAGAAGTCAGAAAGTTGATTATTAAGCTACTCAAGGAGGTACCAGAGAAAAGTGAAAACCAACTTAAAGAAATTTAAAAAATAATAGAGGATATGGATGAAAAAGTCTCCAGAGAAATAGATATTATAAAGAAAAGACAATCATAACTTTTGGAAATGAAAGACATACTTACAGAAATGCAAAATACACTGGAAAGTTTCAACAATAGAATCAAGCAAGTAGAAGAAAGAACTTCAGAGGATGAAGACAAGGCTTTTGAATTAACCTAATCCAACAAAGACAAAGAAAATGGAATTGAAAAAATGAACAAAGCCTCCAAGAAATTTGGGATTATGTGCAAATGACCCAAACACAAAAATAATTCGTGTTCCCAAGAAAGAAGAGAAATCAAAAAGTTTGGAAAACTTATTTGAGAGAATAATTGAGGAAAATGGAGCAGAATAGAGAACCCAGAAATAAAGCCAAATACGTATAGCCAACTGATCTTCAACAAAACAAACAAACAATGTAAAATGGGGAAAGGATACCTTATTCAACAAATGGTGCTGGGATAATTGGCTAGCCACATGTAGAGGAGTGAAACTGGATCCTCATATCTCACCTATACAAAAATCAACTCAAGATGGATCAAGGACTTTAAGACCTGAAATCATAAAAATTATAAAAGATAACATTGGAAAAACTCTTCTAGACATTGACTTAGGCAAAGAGTTTATGGCAAGAACCCCAAAGCAAATGCAACAAAAACAAAGATAAATAGATAGGACCTAAGTAAACTAAAAAGCTTCTGCACAGCAAAACAAATAATCAGAGTAAATACAGCCCACAGAATGTGAGAAAATATTCACAAACTTTGCATCTGACAAAGGACTAATATCCAGAATCTACAAGGAATTCAACAAATCAGCAAGAAAAAAACAAATAATTCCATCAAAAAGTGGGTTAAGGACGTGAATAGACAATTCTCAAAAGAAGATGGTACAAGAAAAGAAGATGGTACATATTACAAATGGTAATATGGTTTGGCTGTGTCTCCACCCAAGTCTCATCTTGAATTGTAGCTCCTATAATTCCTATGTGTCATGGGAGGAACCTGCTGAGAAGTAATTGAATCATGGGGGCGAGCCTTTCCTGTGCTGTTCTCATGATAGTGAATAAGTCTCACGAAATCTGATGGTTTTATAAAGGGGAGTTCCCCTACACAAGCTCTCTTGCTTGCTGCCACTTAAGATGTGACTTTGCTCCCCATTCACCTCCAGCCATGATTGCGAGGCCTCCCCAGCCATGTGGAACTGTGAGTCAATTAAACCTTTTTTCCTTTATAAATTACCCACTCTCAGGTATGTCTTTATTAGTAGCATGAAAACAGACTAATACAAATGGCCAACAAACTATGAAAAAATGCTCAAGATCACTAATTATCAGAGAATGCACATCAAAACCACAATGCAATACCACCTTACTCCTGCAAGAATGGCCATAATTAAAAAATCAAAACATAAGAAATGTTGGTATGGATGTGGTGAAAAGGGAATACTTCTACACTGTTGGTGGGAATGTAAACTAGTACAACCACTATAGAAAACAGTATGGAGATTCCTTAAAGAACTGAAAGTAAAACTGCCTTTTGATCCAGCAATCCCGCTACTGGGTATCTACTCAGAGGAAAAGAAGTCATTGTATGAAAAAGACATTTGCACATGCATGTTTATAGCAGCACAATTCACAACTACAAAGTATGGAACCAGCCTAAATGCCCATCAACCAATGAGTGGATAAAGAAAAAGATACATATAGATATACACCATGGAATACCACTCAACCATAAAAAGGAATGAAATAATGGCATTTGCAGCAACCTGGATGGAGCTGGAGACCATTATTCTAAGTGAAGTAACTTGGGAATGAAAAACCAGTGTACGTTCTCACTTATAAGCAGAAGCTAAGCTATGAGAATGCAAAGGCAGAAGAATGATATAATGGACTCTGGGGACTCCGGGGGAAAGGTGTGAGGGTGGTGAAGGATAAAAGACTACACGTTGGGTACAGTGTATACTGCGTGGTTGATGGGTAAATCTCAGAAATCACCACTAAAGAACTTTTCCATACAACCAAACAGCACCTGTTCCCCCAAAATTATTGAAATGTTTTTTAAAAATTTAAGAAACCAAAACTATTTTTTTAAAAAAGAAAAAGTTGACCACAAAAGTGGGAGTATAAGAATTTATTGGCTAGGCATGGTGGCTTATGCCTGTAATCTCAGCACTTTGGGAGGCCTAGGCAGGCAGACCACTTGAGCTCAGGAATTTGAGACCAGCCTGGCCAACAAAGCAAATGCCCATCTCTACAAAGAATACAAAAATGAGACGAGTGTGGCGGTATGTCCCTGTAGTCCAGCTACTCGGGAGGCTGAGGTGGAAGCATCATCTGAGCCCAGGAGGTTGAGGCTGCAGTGAGCCATGAGCATGCTACTGCACTCCAGCCTGGATGACAGAATGAGACCCTGTTTCAAAAAAAAAAAAAATTATTATCACAGTTTAGGCAAGAGATGCAACTCAGAAACGTCTTAATTAGATTTTGCTCTTCTGGATGGCAATCATGATAACAAATGTTTATTGACTGCTGACATATACCAAGTTATGTTCCAAATACTCTTAAAGGATGAATGCCTTTAAGCCTCAAAACAGTCTTGTGAGACACATGTTATTATCCTCTTCTTAGAAAGGAGCAAACAGACACAGAGAGGTCATGTAACTTGCCTGACTTTTTACAGCTGGAACAAGGCAATTGGATCAGGAACTCGGATGCTGTGTCTCCAGATCCCACATGCTAAACTGTGACACTTGAGTACCTTCATGGTGAGGATCACAGCTTGTAAATCTTTTATGATGGGGTGATTTCCAGAGGAAGCGTCCCATAAATATTTGTGGAATAAATAACCAAATGATTGAGCAAATAAGGGAGATAACTGGCTAGCTATCATACTAAGCAGAAAGGGAAAAGTACTCTAATAGAGCTAGAAATAAGGAGTTGTGGGAACAATGACATGTTAATTAGGGGACTCTCACTTAGAAGAGGTTTACATTTAGGCCTTTACAAAATGGTGTGAAGCCCTAGTAAGATGTTTAGTCTTTTTGCCCAATTCTCTAGGCCCCTATTACTGCTTTCCTTTTAAAGGTATGGTATTTTCTGTATCCTCAAAGTCTTTCCTGCCTAATGGATTTAAGTGGACTTGACTCCCCTTTGGGCCATTAGCATCAAATAGTAAAAATTAATATGAAACCTTGGGGCCGGGCGCGGTGGCTCACGCCTGTAATTCCAGCACTTTGGGAGGCTGAGGCGGGTGGATCATGAGGTCAGGAGATCGAGACCATCCTGGCTAACACGGTGAAACCCCATCTCTACTAAAAAATACAAAAAAAAAAAAATTAGCCGGGCGTGATAGCAGGCACCTGTAGTCCCCGCTACTCAGGAGGCTGAGTCAGGAGAATGGCATGAACCCAGGAGGTGGAGCTTGCAGTGAACCGAGTTTGCGCCACTGCACTCCAGCCTGGGCAACAGAGCGAGACTCCGTCTAAAGAAGAAGAAGGAAAAAAAAAAAAAAAAAAAAAAATATATATATATATATATATATATATATATATATATATATATATATATGCAAGATTTGCAAGTACCACTGTCCTAGTTTTAAAAGTCAGTTATTGGTAGTTAATACTGTGTTCTGTGGTTGACTTTAAACTTATTAATGACCCTGTCAGAAAGATGCCGGGAGAAGAAGAGAGAAGAACCCCCCTAAGTCCCATTGGTTTACTTTTCTTGACACAGATAATATATTTCCAAACAAGTGACCTTCTGTGTGTGTGATGTCCTAGCCCAAAAGAGGTCATTGTGGCCGCCCTACCTGCTGCATAGGGATTGTGATGACAAAATTAGGAGACACTGAAATTCTGAAAATTTATAATCAAGCTGTATTGTAACAGTCGAGGATTGGTAAACAAATTATAATGCCACATCTTAGTGGAGATAATATGCAACCTTATCCAATATGGAAAAATGATTTTGTTATGTTAAAAGAGAAAAGGCAGTGCGAAGTTGGATGTGCATTGTGATCACAGGTCTGTCCAGCAAGCAAACCAAAGCTTTTCCAAGAACATCATCTGGAAATAAAATTTACCACAGTATGAGTCATGGTTTTCTTGATGCGGTGGGATGTGCACGTGGTCAGGGCAGAGGGAGGAATGGAATTCTTCTTCTTTTCTTTCTATTTTTCCATCTTTTCTAAATTTTCTGTAATGATCATGTAAACCCAGGTTAAAAAGAAGTGAAAGTGAAATTCTATTACTTTTAAAATGGGGAGGCAGAGAGGCCAGTTGCGGTGGCTCACGCCTGTAATCCCAGCACTTTCAGACGCCAAGGCAGGTGGATCTTTGAGGTCAGGAGTTGGAGAACAGCCTAATCAATATGGTAAAACCCCGTCTCTACTAAAAATACAAAAAATTTAGCCAGCCATGATGGCGGGTGCCTGTAGTCCCAGCTACTTGGGAGGCTGAGGCAGGAGAATTGCTTGAACATGGGAGGCGGAGGTTGCAGGAGCCGAGATTGCGCCACTGCACTCCAGCCTGTGCGAGGAATGAGACTCTGTCTCAAAAAAATAAATAAGTAAAATAAAATGGGGAGGGAGAGGTATCAGCTTTATTTTTAAACCTGATTCCACAAAAGATTACCAACAAACTTTTTTAAAAAAGAAATAGCTGTGAAAGAGCTTTGAAAGTTAAAATGCTTCTATCAGTGCAGTCAACAGAATCTTCTATTTGCTGGCATCACTTCAAGGCATGGCAATTTGATTCTATTGACTGGTGCATTTCGTTTTAAAAAGCCCCAAGAGGAATCACGTTAGGCAAGAAGGTCCCAGGTGCCAAACTTCAGCACTTAGGGCCGTGGAAGGGTTTGGCGCCTAAGTGGGTTGGGTGTGGGTGGATGCTTCAGCATAGCTGTGGCTCTTAGTCCATCTCTTTTGACCTTCTGGGAACGGAAGCCTGACGGGTCTTGGTGATTTAGAGCCGTGCTCAGTAATGTTTGCCAAAACAGCCCTGGAGAGAGACACATCATCAAACTCTGAAGAATGAGGCAGCTCTGTGGGCCCCAGTCTTCTCAGACCACTCTGGGAGAGTGGAGCCCGCCCCAGATCTGGAGATGGAGGAAGACTGACTCCTTCCCACGTGGTGCAGAGAGCCTCGGCTCTGGAGTCCCAGGGCTGAGTCACACTAGGCTGCAGAATAACTCTTGGTGTGACCTTGACTAAGCCAGCCCTTGCCCTCTCTGAGCTCTGGTTTCCTCATTGGTAAAATGGAGATAATCTTGATTCTCTATCTCACAGGTACTATGGAAGAACAAGGTGAGGTGATAGATATGAAAATATCCTGCCAACTATGAGGCATGCACAGATGTTTGAGATTCTGACAATCCATGATTTGCAGGGATTTCTGAGTGCTGACTGGAACCCTGGTCCTCTGAGCAAAACTTTGATGGCATCTATGCCTAGCCTGGACTGAACAAATAATGATAATAATAACAGCAACAGTAGTAACACTTTTTGACCACTATGTGCTGTATAAGCACTATTCTAAGGACTTTACGCGTATCAGCTCATTTTAACCCTTAAAACCATTCGTGAGGTAAGTACTGTAATTATCCCCATTTTACAGATAAGGAAACTGGCACACAGAGATGTTAAGTAACTTGTCCAAGGTTACTCAGTTAGCAAATGGAGAAGTGGGATTTGAATCCAGCCAGTCTGATTCTAGGGCCTGATCAAAAGCTGCAGATATTTTTCTCTGACATACAAGGGAGAGGAGTTTGGCATCTCCATGAATGTTTCTTAATTGGTTTCCTTCGTTTATTTTGTTAAAGAGCTATTAGTGATCTAGTTTGCTTTTCTTTAAGTGCTGCCGTTAAGGAAACCTGCCAGTGGGCAGTGAATAGGACAAAGTGGATTGTCTTGTGACTGTTGTGGGAAATGCAGCCATGCTTATACTGACACCTTGGGAAGATTTTCTTCTCCCTCAGTGTTTCCAGCAGTCAAAGAAAGGGACACTGCTGATTGAGAAAGAACCACCACTGTGGCTGGATTACAAGAGTAGTTTTGAGCAAACCAGGAAGCAATCCAGGGCAGCATTGAACCTGAAGGGAGAGTACTCCTTAAGTAGCAGACTCTGGGGTCTGTGATAAAAGCATCATGACCAGGGGACTGATATAGCCCTAGGCCTGATGGGGGAGAGGTTCAGACAGGAGGTAACAGCAGAAGGGGAGCCAGATCAGTACATGTGCACTTCCTTGAGGTTAAAGTTCTGTTTGCTACATGGCGGGAATAATTAGAGTGTAGCAGCATCACAGCCCGGGTCTGAGTCTTGTGTACAAGAACTGAGAATGATAAACTAGCAGCGCGAAGAGCCTCAGGAAGACAGAGGCCTGAACAATCTGTCATTATGCATGTGGTTCCTGAGATGTGGGGAGTCTCAGGAGGCAGTTTGCACTGTTTTTTGACATTAGTCAATAACAGGTTCTGTGTGTCCAAACCTGGCTAAGCACTTTCTTAATTCCTTTTATGTTTCACAGTGATAATAAACTGCTCTCTGATGCGTTTAGTTCAAGGCTAAGTTTAACATTCATGGGATTCTATGCAAATTTGCAAAGCACAGAAAAACATTTGATACTTACCCTGCATGTGCATACATGCACGTGATCCTAATTTGTGGAAGTTATTAAGCCTGATAGCCTTACTGGGGTGACTTGTCACTTTCCTGAAGCTCTGAGAATCATGGTTTTATTTCAGCTTGTCTGGCTCAGACAAGCTTAGTGAAAATGTATGTGTATAAATTGTGTATTGAATAGGGTTTTGTATGACTACCCATTCTTGTCTCCTTGAGATGGGAGGGATGACTCATTTTAACTTTTTATTATTTTGAGAGTCTTTATCTTGCTTGCTTTCACCCTTGTTTCCAACGTAAATCCATCTCTGTTTCCTATCTTTCCTCATCCAGCACCTCCTTAAATTTCTTATCATTTAAGCTACTTTCCAGCAAAATTCTTTAGACGACTAATTCCCCCTTGTGGGAAATACTGTCGGTCCAAACACAAGGGGATTGTTGGCTTGTCCCTGGTTGGGCAATCATTGTAAACATTCAGAAAAGGCAGCCAGTTTGGGGCTTGTGCAGCAAACCATTACTGTCTGTCTCCCTCTCATATGTGTAGGATTTACCTTTGCTTTCCACAATTTTTTTTTTGAGACAGAGTCTTGCTCTCTGGAGTGCAGTGGTGTGATCTTGGCTCACTGCAACGTCTGCCTCCCAGGTTCAAGTTATTCTCCTGCCTCAGCCTCCTGAGTAGCTGGGATTACAGGTTCCCACCACCACGCCCAGCTAATTTTTTTTTTTTTTGTATTTTTTGTAGAGATGGGGTTTCACCGTGTTGGTCAGGCTGGTCTTGAACCCCTAACCTCAAGTCATCTGCTCCCCCTTGGCCTCTCAAAGTGCTGAGATTACAGGCATGAGCCACCGCACCTGGCCGCTTTCCACAATTTTTTTGAAGACTATTACCGTATTTGTGAGCAAACAGTAATTCATGTCATTTAGTCTAAGTAGAAGAAAGTCATGGTTTTTTGGGGGAAAGGAGAGACACTGGGGAGTCAGTGGAAGTTTATTGATAAAAACTAAAATTCTGTAATTTGGCTAGAATGGCTTAGTATTTTTTTTCTTGAAAAATGGAATTAAAAAATAAGAGTACAGCCTGTTTCATAGCAACATTTCAATGCGTTTGCTGGTGTGGTTTTGTTTCTACTCTTGCAAAGCTCTGTTTTCTCTTTAAATAACTTCCTCCAAGTCTCAGGTGCTATGTTACAATCTTTATTTCATGACTCATTCTCTATGATGTTCCAAACAAACTTACTGACTTGTGCTGCTTTTTGACTGTCTTGATGGCAAACTCTCACCATTCTTTAGTCATGATACCTTGTGATCTCCCTTCTTCCTACTCTCCTGCTTCACCATACAACATTCCAAAGCTCCCTGCTTCCTACCTGTATTAGTTTTCTATTGCTATGTGACAAATCCCCACAAGCTTTGTGGCTTAAAACAACATACATTTATTATCTCACAATTTCCATGAGTTGAGAGGCTGGACACAGCTTATCTGCACAGGGTCTCACAGGGCTGCATACATGGTATTGGCTGGGCTGTGTTCTCATCTGGAGGCTTGGCTGGGGAAGAATCCACTTCCAAGCTCACTCAGGTTGTTGGCATAATTCATTTCTTTGTGGCTGCCAGACTGAAGGCTTTGACTTATTTCTGGCTATCAGCTCTAAGAGGCTGTTCATGGTTCCTAGAGACACCAGTAGTTCCTAGAGGCCACCCACAGTTCTCACCAGCTGGGCTTTCCCATTGTGGCCTCTTACTTTATCAAGGCACCAAGAAGAAGTCTGCTTGCAATATGCGGTATTATATATGATCATATAATCACAAGAGTTACATCCCATCTCCTATTCTGTTGTTAGAAGAAATCACAGGTTGGCTGGGCATGGTGGCTCATGCTGGTAATCTCAGCACTTTGGGAGGTCATGGCGGGAAGATCACTTGAGCCCAGGAGTTCAAGAGCAGCCTGGGTGACATGGCGAAACCCGTCTGTACAAAAAATACAAAAATTAGCTGGGCTTGGTGGTGCGTGCCTGTCGTCCCAGCTATTAGGGAGGCTGAGCTGAGAGGAACCCTTGAGTCCAAAAGATTGAGGCTGCAGTAGGCCATGATCACACCTCTGCAGTCTAGCCTGGGTGGCAGAGTGAGACCCTGTCCCCCCTCCAAAAAAGAAAAAAGAAAAAGTCACAGGTTCTCCTCATACCCAAAGAGAGTGGATCACAAAAGGCATGACCACCAGGAGATGGAGATCATGGGGTCACATTAGAGTCTGCCTGACATACCACCTAGATCAAATTTTTACTTCAGTGCCTTCCTAAAGTGTGTTTTAAGTTCTCTGTAATTTGGTTTTGCCCTATTTCTCCTAATTTATTTTCTCCTTCTCCCTAATAAACATCAGCTATCTCTCATTTCCTCCTCAAAATTTGTGTTTCTGTCTTATGGCCTTCCATAATGCAACTTTAATTAATACAGATATGTTTTACCTAATTAGCGTAGACATAATTCTAAAATCTTATGTATAAAGCAAAATTATTTTTCATTGAAGTGAAGGGTTCTTAACCAATTTTTGGCTTCTGAATCCTTTTGAGAATCTGATTAAAGCTATAGAGACTCATTTCCCAGAAGTGAGGGACACGACCACACATATACTATTTCAGTTATTATTACAGTACAACAAGCCACCCCTGGCTCAGTGCTGTAATACAACAAGCATTTTATTATGCCCATGGTTTTGGGAATTCAGACAGGGCACAGTGCGGATGGCTTTTCCCTGCCTCATGATGTCTGGGCCTCAGTTGGGACGATTCAGACAGCTGGAGTGATTCAAATGGTTAGGGGAAGAATGGTCTGGAGGTTTCCTCATTCATGTGTCTGTTGTCTGGGCTGGCATGCCAGGCAGGCTTGGCTCAGCTGGGACTGTGGATTGGAGTGGTCAGGCATAGCCTCTCCACGTGGTGTGGGCTGCTCACAGAGTGGGGGCTGGCTTCCAGGAGAGAGAGAGGGAACATCCCAAGAGCGAGCATTCCAGGAGACCAAGCTAAAGTGGCTTGGCCTTTGATGATGTTGCTTTGGAAGTCACGTGGCATTATTGGTCAAACAGACTCAAGCCCACTCAGATTCAAGGAGAGGGGACATAGACACCACCTCTTAATGGGAGGCATAAAGGAGAAAAAACTCAAAACATTGCATGTGTAAACACAAACTATTTAAATCAATAATAGAATCTGGAACTCTGAGAATTGAAAGGGACCATAAAGGAGGATCTGTTTCCATCTCCCATGCAGGGCTCAACTCCTCTTTACAACATTCCCGTCGTCTTGAGCCTGGACCACTGCAGGTGTTTTCTAAGCACTCTGCCATCAGCCATTGTCTCTTTCCCGTCTGTTCTTCATGCCAGGATGGTTTTTCCAAAACAGAAATTTGCTCCTGTGCATCACCTGCTCGCATCCTCCCCACCAAACTAAAACCTACAAAGCTGCAGAGGGAGGTGATGGCTACTGGAGCAATGGTCCGGCTGTCGCCTCCCTCTGCAGCCTTAATCTTGCCCACCTGCTGTTCTTGATCTAGCTGTGGTTACCTTTTATCAGTTCCTTGTACTCGTGATGCCTCTTCCTGCCATAGGGCCTTTGCATATGCTTGTTCCTTTATGTGGAATGCTTTTCCCTACCCTCTTTGCTTGGTTAACTTTTATTCATTCTTTGGATCTTGATAGTCACTTCCTCAGGGATGTGCTTTCTGACCTCCCTGATCAGATCACAGGACTATGGATCTTTCATCTGTAACATCATTTTTCATTTGAAAAATGCTGGTGTCCATATCTCCCATAGAACTGTGAGTTCCATGAAGCTGGAGACCATGTATGTTTTTCCTTAAGACGTTGCTTAACTCAGTGTCTGGCATACAACAGGCATTTGCAGATGGAAGGTAGAAAAGGAGGGAGGGAAGAAAGGAAGGAAGGAAAGGTGAGATGAGATGAGTGAACCTAAAATATGCACTTTGGGGAATTTCTAATGGTGGAGAATTCACTGACTTTAAGCCAGCTCATTTGGTTTTCAGTAGTTTTAATAATTAGGGAAATGTTCTGTTATTATTAAGTTCTAATCTCTCTCTTTATACCTTCTTCCCACTGTCCCTAGTTCTGTCCCTGGAGCACTAAATAACACATCCAGTTTCTTTTTCACATGTTTTAGGGAGATTGTGGTTTCTTGAATCAGTCTTTTCAAATGTTTACTGACATAATTAATACCTGCTATAACAGTGAAGGGTAAACTGATACCCCAGGGTCAGTGACAGGCACAGACATGTCTTTGAAGGCCTTAGTTTTATCTTGGATCAGTCATTTGAATTTTGCATTCTACTCAAGAATGTATATTTATCTTTATATATGAGTATGTTTCCCCTAAATCTTTAAATAAAGTTGATACTTTGGAATGATATGTGTATTAGTCCATTTTCATGCTGCTGTAAAGACATACCCGAGACTGGGTAATTTATAAAGGAAAGAGTTTTAATTGACTCACAGATCAGCATGGCTGGGGAGGCCTCAGGAAACTTACAATTATGGTGGAAGGTGAAGGGGAAGCAAGGCACCTTCTTCACAAGGTGGCAGGAAGGTAAAGTGCTGAGTGAAGTGGGGAGAGCCCCTTATAAAACCAGATCTCGTGAGAACTCACTCACTATCCTGAGAACAGCGTGGAGGAAACTGCCCCAATGATTCAATAACCTCGACCTGGTCTTTCCCTTGACATGTGGGGATTATGAGGATTACAATTCCAGATGAGATTTGGGTGGAGACACAAAGCCTAGCCATATCAATATGCTTTTTCAGTCATGAAGTTTTGAGTACCACCAGGGATCTCCTCACTCCAGTGTGCAAATGGGGACTCTCCCTTTATTAACCGTTTTCCTTTTTATAATGTAAAACACCTCCAAAAAGATCATGTACTAGCACGTATCAGTTTCTTAATGTTTTTCTTAAGATGTGACACTCAGAAATCATCCCAGCTGACCAGGTATGCGCTGAGTAGGGCAGAGAATGGTGAACCTGATCCCCTTGAAAATCAACTAATTTTTAAAAATTCAACCTATAATGGTGGTTATCTCTGGGGAGAAGAAAGACAGAGGGAATCCAGAGAGATACCAGGGACAGGGCTCTAAAAATATTGACTCTGTTGTTAAGCTAAGAGGCACATGAGTGTTGATTTCCTATAGATATTATTTTCTAAATATAGATACTTCCATATAGATATTTTACATGTAGATATTATTTTCTAAGTATGAACTATTCTTCTAGTTAAAGAGTAAAAAAAATTAATGTAACCTAAGGATTTGTCATTTCCTTGCCGGCCTATATTTCTCTTTTAGTTCATAAGGAACTCTAGTCAACTCTGCCTACAGATAGCATAGGCTATTCTTAAAGGGAAGTGCCCCCGTCCTGTTCCTGTCTAGGTAATTTTTGGACTAAGGGCAAGCCTTTCTGTTTAATCCTAATATATGTCTTCCTTTAGTAATAATTTCAGTCTGTTGACATGTCTTTGAAACATGTTTTTCTGAAATTCTTCAAATCAGTTCTTCTGAATTTGGCATCATTTGGTAATTCAGTGAACATGCTTTCTCCCTTGGCTTTATGTGGATCATTGAGCATTTTTTTTTAAGTCAGTCAATTCTGAGGTTAAATATTTCTGAGAAATATCCCAAACATATTGCAGCAGTCAAATATGTTTGAGAAATATTGGCTAAACAAAGTTTAATTAAACCATCCAATATCCTATTTATTAATTTTTTACTATATACCTCTTATGTTTTCTTGACTATGAGAGTTTTCTGAGCCTTTATTTACATGATGATGGGAATATGCCCACATAAATTCCAAATCTACTCTGGTATCACTTTCTGAATAGGTTAGGGTAAGGTAGATTATGTTTCAATGACAACCTCCAAATTGCAGTGACATAAAATAGCAAAGGCTAACTTCTTGCTTGTGCTACCTATATATCCTTTGTCAGCAGAGTCCATAGGGGATGCAGGCTGGTGAACCAGCAAACACTTTGAACATTGCTACTTTCTTCTTTCTCTTCTTTCTTTGCCTCCTCCTTCTGTTTTTCAGTAGCAACTTCCTGAAATATGTTGCTAGGTTTTGTTTCTTTTTGTTTTGTTTTGCTATGGAGAAAGAAAGTTCCGGAGAGTCTTCCTCCAGCACTTAAATGTTCTAGCCCAGAAGTGACACTTGTCATTTCTGCTTACAAACTCATTGGCTGGAACTAGTTACATGGCCCCCATCAACCACAGAAGTATCCAAGACGTTCAGTCCTCCCATGGGCTTAGAAGTGGGAGAGCCGGAAAGATATGGTCAGCATCATTAATGACTTTCACATGTGAATGTCAAGCACTTCTCAAGATTGTTCATAGAAACTTTTCTTCATGAGACATTTGGAATACTGTGTTTCATAGGAGCTATCTTGGGAAACACTAGTTTCTAGTGTGGAAAACAACAAGGTCCAGTAGAAGCAAATCCACTAGAGACTGCCTTTCTTCACTTCAGCATGGAGTTTTCCATCAGTCTCTCTTGGCCGTGGTCATTCAGTCAGTTACAGATCCCTTGGTATTAGCCCCTATTCCTCCATCCTGTTTGCAGAATTTTTGTGTGTGTGTGTGTGAAAGAGTTTGCAAAACTTCCTGCTGAAAGCAAAAGCTGCTCAGCCTGTAGCATCCTTTTCCTGAGTTACAAGGCTATGTAACTGAAACAAGATGAATTTGTTTTGATTCTGAATCCATAAGTTGGACTCATGGTTGAATCCATTTAAACAAAGGTACAAAAGAAGAAATCCTACACAGATTTCACCTGACATCCACATAAAAGTGGATTCTAAAGTTTAACTGAAAAATACAAAAATGCAAAAGTACCTTATACAGATGTTATATTTACCCATATAAGTAACCAGATAAGACTGCATGCAAAGTGTGAAATTGAGGCTATCTAGGAGATAAGCAACATGAACAGGGAGGATTGAGGCATGAAAGCAGCATCCACCTTCTGTGTAAAATTGCAAGTGTCTGAGGGGGGAATACCTCCTTAGGCTGCATGTGGTAACATAGAAACACAATTTCCATTGCAAACCATGAAGCAGTTCCTAAGGAGGGCATGCATTTTAATGAAATACTATGCAGACTTTAGTGTCTTGGAGCTATATATGCATTTTATCACTTATTTCTATTTGAGGTGGGCCAGTGGAGGCCAGAGGGAGCTTTGGCTCTTCAGAAAGCACCCCAATGATCCTGATCTGGTGATCAGGAGACAGTCAGGCTGAGCTGGGCATATGATTACGGCCTGCCTAGGAGATGGAGTTGGTTTCTCTTATAAAATCAAGTCAACAAACCTGATGTAGTATTGGCTTATACCCTGATGAGTTCTAAAAATGATGTAAGGCCAATTTCTTGGGTATCCGTAAACCCCAAGAATGGGGAATTTTAAAGAAAAGGAAGAATGAGAAAGGAATTTTTCAGAATATTGCCTAATTCAGAGTGAACTTCTAGCTTTCCAAGAGTTGTTTCCTCGCCTCCTTTTTAGCGGAGGTCACCAGCTTATGCCCTGCCTCCTTGTCTGTCTGCCTGTGGGGCCACACATGAGTGTTGATATTTCTGGCCTCTGCAGGTGCTTATAGTGACACCAGGCCCTGTGAGAAGTGTCTCCTTCCTGGTTTTTCTTTCTGAAATAGCCTAATCTGAAAGAAAATCTCCTTTGCTATTTGACATGGCATGAATGATAGCACCTGGAATCCTTTTAAATCCAGGAAGATAAATATGTTTCATTGGAGCCATCTTTCCAAACGCAGACAACCTCAAATATTTCATATGAGATGCCTCAGGGTCCTAAAAAAGATTCGTGCTTGAATACACAGTTCTTCTTTAGTTTCGTGCATTTTGGTTTCCTGGATGAGGTTGTTTTGGTGTCATTGGCCATGGCAGTTGACCACATTCAGCTTTGCAAGTTTCACAGTCCACGCCTTGTAGGTGGTACCAAAACAATTTTTTAATACACAAGTATTTTCAACATCTTGCCTTAAGCATCACTTCATCAGAAACTGCTTCCCACCAACCCTGCCCTGTAGGTTCACTGCAACATTTTCCTACTTGATATTATGTAATTTGTTGTTTGACTCTGTTTCCTGAGCCTTCTGTGATGGGTCCGGGCAGAGCCTGTCTTGCACACACCTTTGTCTCCAGCACCTGACCACAGCAGGCACTTCATGAGCATCCAACACCTGACGGCCTGATATTTTGTTTCACAGGAACAGACAATCTACAGATGAATGTCACCCGGACTCCAGAGTCATTTCCTCCCGGGAAATTGTTACCAATTTCACCAACATGGCCTTTCACAGAAGTCAGGTCTTCCTCAGCAGCAGACAGAATCAAGACCGTGCTGGGACAGTCCTCTGACAACACAAGCTTGCCACAGTCAGCCCGAACCCCTGCGTCCAAGACACACCACAGAACTAGGGCTCACGCGGACTTCTCTTCTTCCCTTTACCAAGGAAGCGGACATAGCGCCTCCCTCGAACCTTCCAAGGATTCTACCGAGTCCCTGGTCCAACCGGGGCCTAAAGGGGGACAAGAAGCAGCCGATGTGTCAGGTTTGCCTCTCACCAGCATGCTCCCCTCGTTGTCCACAGTCCCATCAGGGACATCCTTCAGTGCTGTCCCCCCATCCCAGCCAGTATGGGCAGGGACTTCCTCCATTTCAAAGCATCCCCCAAGGTCAGACATTCCCCCACTCCTCCCTCTACCTCCATCCTCTTCATTGGCTCCTGACTCACCTCATTCCATCATCTCTGAGCCAGCAGAGCAATCCCCCAAAGTGCTGTTAGTTCCCCAAACAGCTCCAGCCGACCCCTCTTTAGGTCAGAACATAGCTAATCCCTTAATCCCATTTTCTGATGAAATGGACCACACTGCATCCCAAAATGCCCAGGATCTCATAGGCATCCCTCATCTAGGTGTTTCTGGATCCTCAACAAAATGGCATTCCGAGCTGTCCCCAACAGAGGGTCCCCATTCAGCAGGTTCATCCACACCTGGGTTTTTGAGCCCCATGGCAGAACTGTCCCATCCGTCTCCCCCTCCCCCAGCACTTGGAAGTCTTCTTCAGCTTCCAGATGGAAGCCCCTCATGGTCAATGTTGGAAGTGGCTTCAGGTCCTGCATCCACCCAGCAGATCAAAGCTGGGGTGCCTGGAAGAGTGCACAATGGGGTGTCTTTGCCAACTTTTAAGAATACAGAAACAGCGACCCATGAGGCTGAGCCTCCACTTTTCCAGACTGCAGAATCAGGGGCCATAGAAATGACCAGCAGAAAGCTAGCCTCTGCCACTGCAAATGACTCTGCTAACCCGCTGCATTTGTCAGCAGCTCCAGAGAATTCCAGAGGGCCCGCCCTTTCGGCAGAACACACCTCTTCTTTGGTGCCTTCTCTGCATATCACCACACTGGGTCAAGAGCAAGCCATCCTTTCTGGGGCGGTTCCCGCATCACCATCAACTGGGACAGCCGACTTTCCCTCCATACTTACTTTCCTCCAGCCCACAGAGAATCATGCCTCCCCATCTCCTGTGCCAGAAATGCCCACTCTTCCAGCAGAGGGCAGTGATGGGTCCCCTCCTGCAACTAGAGACTTGCTCCTCTCAAGCAAAGTTCCTAATCTTCTTTCCACATCTTGGACATTTCCCCGGTGGAAAAAGGACAGTGTGACAGCCATTTTAGGGAAGAATGAAGAGGCAAATGTGACGATTCCTCTCCAGGCCTTTCCAAGGAAAGAGGTTTTGAGTCTTCACACTGTAAATGGATTTGTCTCTGATTTCAGCACCGGTAGTGTCTCATCTCCCATCATTACAGCACCAAGGACGAATCCCCTTCCTTCAGGACCACCTCTACCTTCCATACTCTCCATACAAGCCACCCAGACTGTTTTCCCATCTCTTGGCTTTTCCAGCACCAAGCCAGAGGCTTATGCAGCTGCTGTGGACCATTCTGGGTTGCCAGCTTCAGCTTCCAAACAGGTGAGAGCATCGCCCTCCTCCATGGATGTATATGATTCCTTAACAATAGGAGACATGAAAAAGCCAGCAACCACAGATGTTTTCTGGAGTTCTCTTTCAGCAGAAACTGGATCTCTTTCCACAGAATCAATAATATCTGGCTTGCAGCAGCAAACAAATTATGATTTAAATGGACACACAATTAGCACCACAAGTTGGGAAACTCATTTAGCTCCAACAGCTCCTCCCAATGGTTTAACTTCAGCTGCCGATGCCATAAAATCTCAGGATTTCAAAGATACTGCTGGGCATTCAGTGACTGCAGAAGGGTTTAGTATTCAGGATCTAGTCCTCGGTACAAGCATTGAGCAGCCTGTGCAACAGTCAGACATGACCATGGTTGGAAGCCATATAGACCTCTGGCCCACAAGCAATAACAACCATTCCAGAGACTTCCAAACAGCTGAAGTTGCATATTACTCACCCACAACTCGACATTCCGTGTCTCATCCTCAGCTACAGTTGCCCAACCAGCCAGCACATCCTCTTTTGCTAACCTCACCAGGACCAACTTCTACAGGTAGCTTGCAGGAAATGCTTTCAGATGGAACAGATACAGGTTCTGAAATTTCCAGTGACATCAATTCATCACCTGAGAGAAATGCTTCCACACCATTCCAGAACATCTTGGGATATCACTCTGCTGCTGAATCTTCTATATCGACCAGTGTCTTTCCCAGGACCTCCTCCAGAGTGCTGCGGGCTTCTCAGCACCCCAAGAAATGGACAGGTGCAGCCACTAATGCAGGTAGTTTGTTTCCCGGTACCCCCAAAACAGGCATGACTGCTTTTGTGGTCAAAGCATCTTCAAGCTCAACGCAGATACCAGCTTTGCTCTGAAGGAGCTCATACCCCCGATCAGGAATGAGTTAGTAGCCCCAAGTAGTCACCTCATTGATCCTGTGCCCACCTGAGCTTTCGAAACTATTCACAATGTAAGCATCCTTGCTATCAACCATAGCTGTGCTGTAAGTGGCATTCTTGTTATGGTTAATCAAGTTTATGAGCCTAGAGTTGTTTTGCCTAAGTTCTGTCCACTGCAAGCCCAGATTGCAGAGACTTCACCCTAGCAAATCCATAAGTTACATCCATTCATCATCAGAACAAGTGACACGTGCATTCCAAGCCAATGACAAACTTTGTTTTTTCTCTCTTTACAGCGGACACAGTATCATCTAAGGTACAGCCAACAGCAGCAGCTGCCGTCACATTGTTTCTGAGGAAATCAAGTCCACCTGCACT